>NC_000001.11:236335636-236487151 GCF_000001405.40 Homo sapiens | reverse complement strand
CCCCTTTCCCTCTCCCACTGCCTGGATGGTGGCCGTAGACTGTGCAGGCTGGTGTTAGGCTGAGGTGACAAGTGGGCCTGGGTGGAAATGGGGGAAGGAAGGGGCTTTCTGGAGGCACTTGGCCAGGCAGTCGTGCGCAAGAAGATTGTCACCCTGAGATCCAGTCTTTGCATCCCCAGGGGGTGGCAGGATGGAAGGAGTGCAGACCATCAGACTGCTGGGGTCTGCTACCACCAACACTAAACAACCACAGCTTTTTAAATTCTGGGCTAATAAATGACAATGTGTCACACATAGCTTAATGAGAATACAATACATCAAATCAAATTCGTAGATGGTGAGAACTCCTAACAGCTTCTGTACAGTGCCTGGAACCTGGCTGACAAAAATGTTTAATAATTGCCTCACTGAACACCAATTTGCCAAAGAATCTATTTTTTAAAATCTCACATTTTATTACTGGCTGTTACTTTCAATATATCTGGTGATAAATCTGACATTTATCTCATAAATCTGACAAGAGAAGATGAGCTGGGTGAGATTAGCACTAAATCAGAAGTGATAAGTATGTCTCTGTAATAGATTTTGCTAGTTTAGAGTTTGCAACTGATGGTGAGGCTGACTTCATGTGTCAGCAACCTAATGAAAACCGCTGTAATTGTCAGTGGAAAAAATCACGGTGGTTTAGAAAATAACTTTCTTTTGAGTTAATCCTAATCTTTCGGTTGCACTGAATCAGTGTTATTCATCATTTTTGCTTATTTTAATCAGGGACTTATACAGAATCCTTCCAAATTGAACTAAGTGTCTTAATTTTCTAAGCCCATAACCAAAACCAAATAGCACTTTCATGGAATTGTCAGTCAAAGCTTTGCCTTTTGTCTTTCTCCACCCAAATTACCTAGAAAATCTGATCTTTCCAATAACAAACCCCATTATGCCCCACACTTTCCTTTCTCCAAAATCATCAAATAAAAACATCAGCTATTCTTTGAACCAAATGTTTCATTTGTTTAAAATCCTTTAAAGTTTGGATTTGAAGGAATCCCTTCCCTCCCAGTGTCCACATAAAGACCCCCTTTTCTTGGCTAAACTGCTGTGTAGTGTGATGGGGTCCTGTTTTAAGTTGGGCTAGTAGGAGCTGGGGGTGGTTACCTTTCACCAATAGGTTACGGGATTTTCATTTATTTCTTAACTGAGCTTCATCTCAGGGGTGAAGCACTCAGCCTTATATAAAGGATGAAAAAGTAAATATTACATTGTTATTATTATTATTACAATTTTTTTTTTTGAGATGGAACCTCGCTCTGTTGCCTAGGCTGGAGTGCAGTGGCGCAATCTCGGCTCACTGCAACCTCCACCTCCTGGGTTCAAGCAATTCTAGTGCCTCAATTTCCCGAGGAGCTGGGATTACAGGCGCCCACCACCACGCCTGGCTAATTTTTGTATTTTTAGTAGAGACGGGGTTTCGCCATGTTGGCCAGGCTGGTCTCCAACTCCTGACCTCAAATGATCCACCCGCCTCAGCTTCCAAAAGTGCTAGGATTACAGGCGTGAGCAACCACACCCGGCCTAACTATCACATTAAATTTTTTAAAGTCCCGGGTAACCAAAGGAGATTTGGAGCACTCTTTTTTTTTTTTTTTTGAGACACAGTCTTGCTCTGTCGCCCAGGCTGGAGTGCAGTGGTGCTATCTCGGCTCACTGCAAGCTCCGCCTCCTGGGTTCAAGCCATCCTCCTGCCTCAGCCTCCTGAGTAGATGGGACTACAGGCGCCCGCCACCACACCCGGCTAATGTTTTGTATTTTTAGTAGAGACGGGGTTTCACCATGTTAGCTATGATGGTCTCGATCTCCTGACCTCGTGATCCACCCGCCTCGGCCTCCCAAAGTGCTGGGATTACAGGTGTGATGGAGTACTCTCTTTTTTAAAGTCCTGGGTAACCAAAAGGGATTTGGAGTACTCTCTTTGTCAAACACTATTCCCATGGCCTTGATTACCTCACTACTTCCTGACTGTTTTCCCAATAACCATCAGTTTCTGTAGGTCTTTAAAAAATATTTGAGCAAATGACATTACTGATAGTCCACTGATTGTAAACATACTTGCATAAAAAAGATGGGGCAGGTGTTCTGAAGAGTATCACCATGTAATACTAGCATCCTGTTAATTCACCAAAGTACTTTATAACAAAAAAAGTAATAAACCAACAAGACAGGGTCACTTCTCATTGCTGTTTTCTTTTTTCTCATGGGTCAATGAGGCTTTTTATTTTGAGCACAAAATCACTGGGGATCTTGCCTGTGGCCACCCCGGAGATGACACTGGAGGGTCACGTGGCTCCGGTGATTTGGGCCAATTACATGACTGCAAGGCTAGAGCTGCCAACAGGGCTCCAGGGAGCTTGGCTTCTGTAGAAGTTCTTTTTTTTTTTTTTTTTTTCTGGGACGGACTCTCACTCTGTCTCCAGACTGGTGTGCAGTGGCGCAATCTCGGCTCACTGCAACCTGCTTCTGTAGAAGTTCTAAGGAAGAGGTGCGAACTCCACGGCGGTGGGCAAGGGTAGCTAACTAGCAGCGGCCCCTACAAATGTTGCTCGGGGGTCTTGAGCTGCCGGAGTTGACACAAGGGGAGGGGTCTAATTAGCCACCAGGTGACTGAAGGGCTTGCCTGCCCACAGCTTACTTGGCTGGGGGGTTTCTGAAGTTCCTGCCGGCAAACTTAGCCTTGCTGCCCAGCTCCTCTTCAATTCTGAGGAGCTGGTTGTACTTGGCCAAGCGCTCAGATCAGCAAGGGGCACCAGTCTTGAGCTGCCCAGGTCACAGCCCCACCACCAGGTCAGTGATGAAGGTATTTTCAGTCTCCCCAGAATGATGAGGCACCATGACACACCAACCATTGGCCTGGGCCAGCTTGCACGCCTGAAGGGACTCAGTCACAGAGCGAATCTGGTTCACTTTGAGCAGGAGGCAGTTGCACTTCTTCTCATTCACGGCCGAGGCTGTCCTCTTTGGGTTGGTCACTCTGAGATCATCCTCCACTACCTGGATTCCTGCACTGGCCGTGAACTTCTGCCAAGCTCCCCAGTCATCCTGGTCAAAGGGATCTTCAGTAGACACCACTGGGTAGTTTTTGATGAAGGACTTGTACAGGTCAGCCAGACAGTCAGGTGAGATGTACCTGGTGGGGTCGTCGAGAAACTTGAATTCCAGGTCATACTTTCCAGACCTGAAGAACTCGGAGGCCTCTACGTCCATGCTGACGATCACCTTATCAGTGTAGCCAGCTTTCCCAATCGCAGTCTTCAGCAGCTCCAGGCCTTCTTTATTCTCCAGGATGTTGGGAGCAAACGCGCCTCCATCCCCCACACCGGTGGCATCTTTCCCATATTTCTCCTTGATGACATTCTTCAGGCTGTGGTAAACCTCCGCTCCAATGGGCATGGCTTCCCTGAAGTTTGCTGCACCGACTGGGAGGACCATGAACTCCTGCATGGCCAGCTTGGTGACAGCATGAGAACTGCCATTGATGACATTGAACACCGGGACTGGCAAGATGACTTTGGAGTTGCCAGACAAGTCGGCGATGTGGTGGTACAGGGGAACCCCCTTCTCAACAGCACTAGCTTTGCAGGCAGCGAGGGACACTCCCAGAATGGCATTTGCACCAAATTTAGATTTATTTTCTGTTCCATCCATCTCTATCATAAGTTTGTCAATCTTCTCTTGTTCTGTGACGTTCAGTTTCTTGCTAACCAGGACAGGTGCAATAGTTTTATTGATGGGCTCAACAGGCTTTGAGACACCCTTCCCCATATAGCGAGTCTTATCATTGTCCTGGAGCTCTAGGACCTCATAGATACCAGTTGAAGCACCACTGGGCACAGCAGCTCTGAAGAGACCTTCTGAGGTGAAGAGATCAACCTCAACAGTGGGATTCCCACGAGAGTCAAAGAGCTCCCTGGCATGGATCTTGAGAATAGACATGGTGAATTTCTAGCCACTGGGTCTCATTGCCTAGGAGAGAAGTGGAGGGTGCTGCAGACACTCAGGTAAGCATTCCTTGTAGCTGTTTTCTTTGAAACCGTGGGAATGGCACTGATCAGGAGAGATGTTACATATAATGCTGTGGGTATGTCTGGGGCTATCAACAGTCTCAGGACCTATTTAAATCTTTACCGTATTTCAGAGAGAGGATAATTTTATCTTCAACGTGGCATGAATCCATTCCGATTGTAGGACTTTGGCCCTTAGAGGATACTAGAAAATATGTTTTCTTAATTCCAGATTTGAATATTAAATTATAACAGATGTGCAAAAATAAACAGAGATCCACCACCGAAACAAGCTACCCCTCCACAAAACTGCCAGCTTTGGGGAAAACCAGTGTCCACTGTTCCACGTCCTTGTCCTAAACTCTTATAAAACAACAGATTCACATTCCTTCTTGACCTGTGGTTGTTTCAACATCCGGAGAGGCCAATGAAGGAAGAAGAAGAGCTCTAGAAGTGCCTGGAGGGGTCTCCACGCTCCCGCTTGGGCCACTCCTCGTCCACCCACCTGCGCAGAACCTTCTCCACGTCGGCCCTGTGGTAGAGCCTGCAGAGCTCCATCAGCTGGCCCACCGTCCTCTGACTGTTCCGGAGCAAGAACTCCAAGGTGGGGCTCTGTGGCCTCTGCTCCAGGAAGCACAATTCGTCATAGGACATCCCCCATTTGCTTGCAAAATTCCTCCAGTTTTTCACCGTTGGGTGACACGGATCCAGCTTTATCCTGATCACGTCTAGTAAGTCCTGATCATTGAGCAAGTCACTTATGGTGGGGGCCCGGAGCAAGCAGGAGGAACAAGTACAGTTTTCTTTGCAGGAGTTGTCCTTGCTGATCTCTGCAGGGAGAAACAATTTAGTCCACAGGTCAACAAGAGGCCTAACATATGCATTCATTTCTTACATCCTTTATTTTCCTGCTGAATTGTCAAAAGCATCATATGGAAGACTATTTCAGAATGCTCGTTTCTTTCTTTTTTTTTTTTTTTTTGAGATGGAGTCTCGCTCTTTCGCCCAGGCTGGAGTGCAGTGGCACTATCTCGGCTCACTGCAAGCTCCGCCTCCCAGGGGTTCACGCCATTCTCCTGCCTCAGCCTCCTGAGTAGCTGGGACTATAGGCACCCGCCACTGCACCCGGCTAATTTTTTGTGTTTTTAGTAAAGACGGGGTTTCACCGTGTTAGCCAGGATGGTCTCGATCTCCTGACCTTGTGATCCACCCGCCTCGGCCTCCCAAAGTGCTGCGATTATAGGCATGAGCCACCGTGCCTGGCCTCAGAATGCTCATTTCTAATAATGTGTTACTGTTCTTTTTTTTTTTTTTTTTTGATACAGGGTGTCACTCTGTTGCCCAGGCTGGAGTGCAGTGGCATGATCTCGGCTCACTGCAACCTCCGCCCTCCAGGCTCAAGCGATCCTCCCACCTCAGCTTCCCGAGTACCTGGGACTACAGGCACGTACCACCAAACCTGGCTAATCTTTTCTTTCTTTCTTTTTTTTTTTTTTGGTAGAGGTGGGGTTTCACCATGTTTCCCAGGCTGGTCTTGAACTCCTAGACTCAAGTGATCTGCCCACCTTGACCTCCCAAAGTGCTGGGATTACAAGCATGAGCCACCGCACCTGGCTGTGTTATTCTTTATAGCCAAAGATGAATTGCTTTGCTAGAAGGAGTAAGAATTTTTAAAGCCAGTTTCCCTTTCTTTCCAAGACTGTCTATGTCTTACAGTGTGCATTTGTGACACTGCTGGCCAGAATAAGGGCTCCAGCAAACAGAACTCTCTCCGGGGTAAAAGGGGCTGCTGTGTCTGTGAGTAACCAGCCGACACTTGCATGCACCTCAGCCCTTGCCCTTTCCAAGTGACCAGTCAGCCCTGACAGTTTAACACCAAACACAGCCTGTCAGCCTGTAAAAAATGCACAGTTCTTTGAAAGGTCTTTTTTTAAAAACAACAACACAGACATGAAAACTGGAATATCCACTCCATATGCATATTTGAAAACAAGTGAGAGTTGATAGTGCCAGGAATCTTAACTTTTTAAATTTATGGCCCCCTTATGAGCCCTCTGCCTTTACCTGTGTTTTCTTCATCCACAGGCTCCCTTTGAAGTGGCGCCAACACCCTGGGGTGTGTGCAGTGGGAGGGAAAGAGGCAGAAAACTCAGCAGGAGGCTTTTCAGCTGAGCTTCAGCATGAAGAGCATGCGCCTACCCCAGAGGAAGGGCCATCTTTCTACTGAAACTTAAAGACTCAACTGTAGCCTCATTTGATTAGCAGGAGGTATATTTGTAGGAGGATGAAGTTTGTAGGTGAGAGGCGTTGACAAGTCATTTGCAATAAAGTATTAAGTGGTGTCTAAACAACGTGGCAAATTAAGGAGCTTAAATTCTACAACAACACTGAGTCTCATGAACCCTCTGAATTCAGATTTTAACAGCCAAAGGTCACTTTAGAGACCACTGGCTTGGAAAATTCTGGGGAAGGTTATAGTAGCCTTTACTATATATATAACATTGAGTCATGGCCTTCCCAGTTTCGGAAGGTAAAGAATTTGGACCGACGGAGTAACTCTGGTGATCATAAGGGAGCAAACCAGCAATATTGAGGCAAGTGGAAATTAAAAGGTAATAAAACAAGAGCCTTGAAAATAGGCTCATACTCTTTGACCTACTAATGTGACTTCTGGGAATCCACCCTAAGGAGATAATCCAAAATATGAATTTACATAAACATTGTTATCACGGTGTTATTTACATTATTAAGTTTCAAAAACAACCAAAATGTCTACAGTTAGAGGACTAGTGAAATAAATGATTGTGCTACTTGATGGAATATTATTTAAGTAACTATGAAGACAATATGGCAACCTAGAAAATGTTTGTGATGTTATGTGAAAGATGGAAGATAGAAAGAATGTATGAATTCTACGATTAGAACTACATGAAAATCAATGAGTGGATAAAGAAAATGTGATATATATATATATATATATATATATATATATATATATATGGCATACTTAAAAGGCACACTGAGATTATATTAGGGATTTTGTTTTGTTTTTTGAGACAGTCCCACTCTGTTACCCTGGCTGGAGTGCGGTGGCACAGTCATAGCTCATCATAACCTGGAACTCCTGGGCTCAAGCAATTCTCCTGCCTCAGCCTCCCAAGCAGCTGGGACTAGGTGCACACCATCACACTCAGTCAATTTTTAAATTTTTTTGTGGAGATGGAGGTCTTGCTATGTTACCCAGGCTGGTCTTGAACTCTTGGCCTTAAGCAATCCTCCTGCCTCAGTTTCCCAAAGCACCGAGATTGTGGGCAGAAGCCACTGTGCCCAGCCAGTTTTCTTTTTTTTTTTGATTAAACTTTAAAAAAGAAAATGCAGGGAATTGAGTAGTCCAGTTTGGTTGAGCACAAGTTATACCGAGGCAGTCATGGAAAATAAAATAGGAAGAGAGCATGGGGAGCATGGAGTAGAAGCTGGGACTTGGTAACTGGACAGATACAGCAAAAAAAAAGTCTAAAGACTCCAATGAAGCTTAAGTGTACACAGAGAAGCCCAGGTATTCTTAAAAGGCGAATAGAGAGGTTTTTTTTTTCTTTTTTTTTGAGACAGGGTCTTGCTTTGTTGCCCAGGTTGGATGGCAGTGGCACAATCACGGCTCACTGCCGCCTTAACCTCCTAGGCTCAAGCAATACTCTCACCTCAGCCTCCTGAGTAGCTGGGACCACAGACATGCACCAACACACCTGGCTAATTTTTAGATTTTATTTGAGACAGGGTCCCACTATGTTGCACTGGCTGGTTTTGAACTACTGGGCTCAAGTGATCCTCCTGCCTCAGCCTCTCGAATTGCTGGGATTACAGGTATGAGCCACCGTGACTGGCCAGGGAGAAATTTTTTTTCCAGGGTACTTTTTCTTTTTTCTTTTTTAATTTCCATGGTTTATTGAGGAACAGGTGGTATTTGGTTACATGAGTAAGTTCATTAGTGGTGATTTATGAGATTTTGGTGCACCCATCACCCGAGCAGTATACACTGCACCCAATTTGTATCTTTTATCCTTCACCCCCTTCCCACCTTTTCCCTGAGTCCCCAAAGTCTATCGTATCATTCTTATGCCTTTGCGTCCTCATAGCATAACTCCCACTTATGAGTGAGAACATACGATGTTTGGTTTTCCATTCCTGAGTTACTTCACTTAGAATAACAGTCTCGCTGGGCGCGGTGGCTCACGCCTGTAATCCCAGCACTTTGGGAGGCCGAGGCGGGTGGATCATGAGGTCAGCAGATGGAGACCATCCCGGCTAACACGGTGAAACCCAGTCTCTACTAAAAATACAAAAAGTTATCTGGGCGTGATGGCGGGCGCCTGCAGTCCCAGCTACTCAGGAGGCTGAGGCAGGAGAATGGCGTCAACTCGGGAGGTGGAGCTTGCAGTGAGCTGAGCTCGAGCCACTGCACTCCAGCCTGGGTGACAGAGCGAGACTCCGTCTCAAAAATAAATAAATAAAATAAAATAATAATGGTCTCCAAGTCCATCCAGGTTACTGCGAATGCCATTAATTCATTCCTTTTTATGGCTAAATAGTATTCCATCATATATATATACATATATACACATATATATATACACACACACACATATATATATCATATTTATATATCCATCCAGATATATATATATATCCATTTATATATATATATAAATCCATACACACACACACACACACACACACACATATATATATGGATTTTGGATAAACTATTAACAGCTAGGGTTTTCCCCAACTCTCCTGATTATGAGTGAAGATGTGATGCATACCTTTCACATAAATTGGGGCCACATCTTTAATCATCTCACCACTAATAGGATAATTAGGTCAAAAGCATGAGCCTTCTAAGGCTACTGGTGCATGTGCCCCAAATTGCTCTCCAGAAAGAAAGCCTTTACCAGTTTACAGTACGGATTTTTTTTTCTTTCCTTTTCTTTCTTTTTTTGAGACAGTCTCATCCTGCTATCCAGGCTGGAGTGCAGTGGCACAATCTCAGCTCACAGCAACCTCCGCCTCTCGGGTTCAAGCAATTCTCCTGCCTCAGCCTCCTGAGTAGTTGGGACTACAGGCACCCACCATCACACCCGTCTAATTTTTATATTTTTAGTAGAGATGGAGTTTTGCCATGTTGGCCACGCTGGTCTCAAACTCCTGAGCTCAAGTGATCTGCCCGCCTCAGCCTCCCAATGTGCTGAGATTACAGGTGTGAGCCACCGCGCCCGGTCATTTCACCTTTGTCAGCACCAAGTATTCGTTTTAAAAATCTCTTTTCAAGGATTTTTTTTAAGTGGTAGGTTAAAAAATCAGGCCTTATCTTTTTCTATCTCCATACCTTTTCTAGTGTTTCCTTCATGATCAGAACGCCTTCCCTCTACCTCTCACCGAACTTCCTCTGTTGCACTTCTCTTCCTCTAATGAACTTTACCCATCCTAGAAAACCCACCTCAGATTCTCCCTTTCCACGAAGTCTTCCCGGCCCCTGTCTGGAATTCCACCTCACTTGGAACCCCCACATCAGTTTGTTTGCATCTCCTGACCCTGCTTTGTAGTGAGAAACACTGTACGGTTTTCTTATTTCCGCGCAACACCTTAAAATCCTGAGAACAGATAGGTATCTCTGCTCCTGCCTGAGCCTCCCGAGTAGCTGGGACTACAGGCGCCTGCCACCACGCCCAGGTAATTTTTTGTATTTTTAGTAGAGACGGGGTTTCACTCTGTTAGCCAGGATGGTCTCGATTTCCTGACCTCATGATCTGCTCACTTCAGCCTCCCAGAGTACTGAGATTACAGGTGTGAGCCACCGTGCCCGGCCATAATCCAGTTCTTCTAATGACTAATAATACAGTCGTTTATATCCCTGTAAATCATGTATAATAAATACAATCACAAGCATGGAGAAAAGTTTGGAAGGATCTATAACAAAAATATTAACAATGGTTAATTCTGGGTGATGAGAACGCAGGTGATTAATTTTTTCTTTTTTTTTTTTTTGCTTATGGGCACTTTTCAATTTTCTGTAATTATTGTGTTTATTTGGATACTATATATATTTTTGAGACAGGGTCTTGCTCTATGGCCCAGGCTGGAGTGCAGTGCTGCAATTATGGCTCACTGCAGCCTCCACTTCATGGGCTCAAGCAATCCTCCTGCCTCAGCCTCCCGAGTAGCTGGCATGCACCTCCATGCCCAACTAATTTTTTAATTTTTTAAAACTTTTTGTAGGCTGGGCAAGGTGGCTCACGCCTGTAATCCCAGTACTTTGGGAGGCTGAGGGAGGCAGATCACCTGAGGTTGGGAGTTCAAGACCAGCCTGACCAACATGGAGAAACCCAGTCTCTGCCAAAAATACAAAATTAGCCGGGTGTGGTGGCACATGCCTGTAATCCCAGCTACTTGGGAGGCTGAGGCAGGAGAATTGCTTGAACCCAGGAGGCAGAGGTTGCAGTGAACCGAGATCGTGCCACTGCACTCCAGCCTAGGCAACATGAGCAAAACTCCATCTCAAACAAAAAAAAAAAATCTGTAGGGACAGGGGTCTCACTATGTTCCCCAGGCTGCTCTTGAACTCCTGGGCTGAAGCAATCCACCTGCCTCGGCCTCCCGAAGTGCTGGGATTACAGGTGTGAGCCCTGTGCCTGGCCTAAAATATACATTTTTTTAATGTCATAGAAAAATAAGGATTTAAACCACTAAGTCCAGAATTACATGTAATGGTGTCTGAAGGTCCCTTTCTTGTCTTATCTTTGTAAGATTCAGTGTTGGCAATGTTATCGTCAAGAAGAAAAAAACATCAGAAGGTTTCTGTAAAGCTCCTTTATTTATTTATTTATTTATTTATTTATTTATTTATTTGAGATGGAGTCTCGCTGTTGTCAGCTGGGGCTGGAGTGCAATGGCACGATTTTGTCTCACTGCAACCTCTGCCTACCAGGTTCCAGCGATTCTCCTGCTTCAGCCTCCTGAGTTGCTGAGATTACAGGCGCCAGCCAACACACCTGGCTAATTTTTGTATTTTTTAATAGAGACAGGCTTTTACCATGTTGGCCAGGCTGGTCTCGAACTCTTGACCTCAGGTGATCCACCCGCCTTGGCCTCCCAAAGTGCTAGGATTACGGGCATGAGCCACCGCGCCCGGCCTGTAAAGTTTCTTTAAACTGAGTTTATGAAAAGCTCTTATTTCTTTGAACAATCATATCAACCATTATCAGTTTATTTTAAAAAATAATATGCCGAAAGATCTACTAAAGTTTTTTTGTGTGTGTGTTTTCTTTCTTTTTTTTTGAGACGGAGTCTTGCCCTTGTTGCCCAAGCTGGAGTGCAATGGTGCGATCTCGACTCACTGCAACCTCCGACTCCTGGGTTCAAGCGATTCTCCTACCTCAGCCTCCCGAGTAGCTGAGATTAGAGGCGCCTGCCACTACTGCCAGCTAATTTTTTGTATTTATAGTAGAGACGGGTTTTCACCATGTTGGCCAGGCTGATCTCAAACTCCTGACCCCGTGATCTGCCCACCTCAGCCTCCCAAAACGCTGGGATTACCAGCATGGGCCACAGTGCTCGCCCTGTGTGTGTTTTCAATAACACAAGTGACAAACCATTTCCTTAACTGGAATCTACATGAACTGCTAATATAAGTGAATCTATAGTTGCCTTTTAGAATCACAAACTCTAATTAGCTCTCTGGAGGACTTAACACAGAGCAAACAAGGTTTTCTCCTATCAAATACATTTTGTCCTGCTATACTTTAAATAACTATCATATATATTATACATGAAAGGTTAAACTGGGTAATGCCTCGGAGAGGGGAGAGAAAGACTTCAGACCAAAGAAATCTTTCTCAAAAATGGAGAAAAATGGGATTATTTATTTTATTTGTTGGGTTTTTTTTTGTCTTGTTTTGTTTTGTTTTTTGAGACGGAGTCTCGCTCTTGTTGCCCAGGCTGGAGTGCAATGGGGCGATCTCGGCTCACTGCAACCTCTGCCTCCCAGGTTCAAGCGATTCTCCTGCCTCACCCTCCCGAGTAGCTGGGATTACAGGTGTCTGCCACCACACCTGGCTAATTTTTGTATTTTTAATAGAGACGAGGTTTCACCATGTTAGCCAGGCTGGTCTCCAACGCCCATCCTCAAGTGATCCACCCGCCTCAGCCTCCCAAAGTGCTGGGACTACAGGCGTGAGCTATCACACCCAGCCAAAAAATGAGATTATTATTTGATGCTTCTCAAATAACAGGCCAACCACAAGCACAGGGCTGCTGTACAGTGGAAATTCAAAAATTATCTGCTAAATGAACAAATGAATGAGAACTGTGCATTGTCCCTGGGAGGCAAGGTAGATTTGTTATTGTTGTTTAATGAATCTTAATACCTAAAGAGGGAACTTCTATTAAAGGAGAAAGAATGTAGCTGATATCTGCTAGCAGTAAATAGATATTGATGGAAAATACTACAGAATTGGTCTTAAAATACAAAAGATGGATTAATTATTGGTTTGGAGAGGAGAGGGTTGTTGAATAATTAATTATACATAAAAATTAACTTAGATTCTCTAATAATTGGGGTCCCCATTTGCCATGTTTTGATGCTTGACCTGTATATTTTCCACTGGTGCAAAGCAAGAATGAAACACACCACATCAAGTCATTTATGATGACTTCCTATTTTAAAGGCCAAAGCCCCGAGGATTTATTCTTGGTCAGTCTCGTTTGAGCAGTGGCTCAAACGAAGAAAGCCTTTGTCAGGTGAAGAAGGGCCAGGTTTCTTATCATCACGGTAACTGTCATGATGAAGTGACAATGAACACAGTAATTATCACTATCAAAATTCTTGTGCCTAATGTATGGTAGCCCTGCCCTGAGTCCTTGACAAGCATAATCCCAAATCATCCTGATTCTGGGTCTGTATTGGATGGTGCTCTTCGAATCCCAGTGCTCCAACTTCCTCAAGGCTTGACGTTTCAGGGCATTGAACCTCTAGGAACGTCAGACTCCTCATCTATAAAATGGAGGTGGCAGCATTTCCTGTATCGCTTGGACTAAATGAGATGAGGGACAAGATGCCATTTTTGCCAAGTCTTATGCCAATGTTCTTTAAAGATGTTAGGTTTTGATTATTCAGGTATGGTGGTGCACGCCTATAGTCCCAGCTACTCAGGAGGCTGAAGGGGAGGCTCGATTAGCTCAGGAGATTGAGGCTGCAGTGAGCCATGGTGGTGCCACTGCACTCCAAGATGTTAGGTTCTAGATTTACTTATTTATTTAGAGACAGAGTCTCACTCTGTCACCCAGGCTAGAGTACAGTGGCACAATCACGCCTCACTGCAGCCTCCACCTCCCGGGTTCAAACAACGCTCCCACCTCAGCCTCCTGAGTAGCTGGGACCACAGGCGCACGCCACCGGGCCCAGCTAATTTTTTGATTTTTTGGTAGAAATGGGGGAGGGGTCTCACTATGTTGCCCAGGCTGGTCTCGAACTCCTGGACTCAAGCAATCCACCTACATCAGCTTCCCAAATTGTTGGGATTACAGGTGTGAGCCACCACACCTGGCTAGTTTTATTTTTTGAAGGAGGCAGAAGAAAGAGTCCCCAGGCTATCTCCCAGCTCACCTCCTCTGCTGCTCCTCACTGCCCACGCCCGTCCTAGAACACTGAGCTCAGTCCAGCCTCAGGGGCTTTGCCCCAGCAACTTCCTGTCCCTGGCATCCTCCTGTCTTAGATCTCCACGGGCCGGGTCCTTTGCATTGTTTGGGTCTCGCTACCCTTTCCGAGCTAAAGTGGCACCCTCCCCCTACCAGGCTTAATCCCATTAACCTGGCTCATCTTCCTCAAGGCACCTACCACCATATAAAATGACTTACTGATTTTGTGTTTATTATCTGTCTCTCCCAGATAGAATAAGCTCTAAGAGGAAAAGGACTTTGGATGTCTGGTGTCACTGCTGCACACCAGGCACACAGCAGGTGCTCAATAAGTATTTGATGAATATATCAAATGAATGAGGAGTGTGACACAGTTCAAGAAGAAAATCAAATGAAAAATTAGGCTTCTTAGCAGCCCGAAAAGAGCTCTTTATCTAGAAATTGTCAAACCAGCTGATGCAAGTTTTTTTGGTGTTAACAAGGCAGCCGCAAGATTGCTATGGAGAGGACACCGTGTACCATGGAGATTAACGGCATGAGCTTTAGCAGCAGCTAACCCCATGCAGATGTGTGACTTGGACAGGTTACTGAGCTTGCTAAGCCCCTGTCTCACTCTCCAAACAGGGATAATGACACCTCTCTCACAAGGTGGTTGTGAGGATTAAATGAGGTAATCCTTTAAAGCTCCCATCCTAGCACACGTAAGAAGCATGCAACAATGAATAGAATAGCTGTGGGGAAGCATTAATAACCAACAGCCTTTTTCAGGAGAATTGCTTGAGCCCAGGAGGCAGAGGTTGCAGTGAGCTGAGATTGCGCCACTGCACTCCAGCCTGGGTGACAGAGCGAGACCCCATCTCAAAAACAAGCAAACAGTCTTTTAAAAAGCAGTGGTTCTCAACCTTGGCCATAGGATAGACGCCTCCACCCCCAACCCCACCAAACCCCCAGGGAAATTTACAAAACCCTGATGTGTGGTCCCACCCTCGGAGATCCCGATTAATTAGTCTGGGATGCAGGGAGGACGTGGGAATTTTTTAAAGCTCCCCTGGGACTTCTAATGTGCAGCCAGGACTGAAAACCTCCGCCTGCCTTGAAGACATCTCCAGATTAAGTATTTAGTCAGGAGCGCCTGCCAAAATTAGATTTTGGAATTACACCCACTTCTCTTTGAGAGATACCATGTCTGTGGATGATTAAGAGTTCTCAGATACACAGGGCTTCTCCACACTCTCAACCTGATGAGTGGGTTTTCCATGGGGCATTTCTTCCCCCACCTCCCTCCTCTCCATCGTATCCCACTCAAATATTTTAAAATTATACTGTAAAGAAGAGTTCAGGAATCAAGCATGCTCATTAATGTCATTTAAAACAATTGTAAAAAAAAATAGTGAATGTCTGGTAGTGTCTGTATCTAACTTGTAAGTTCATGGCTGGCGGGTTATAAAATATGGGTCAATTAACAGTTAATTGTGAATTGCAACAAGCTTCACAATTCACAAACGTCATGATTAGTTAGGCGTAGAAACGGCTCCAGTCAGGATGTTGGCAGCAGATCACAGACTGACTTAATGTGCCTCCCTGCAGGGAAGGTGCCCTTTTATCTTGCACATTCTGGCTTTTGGAGAGTGATTGCCACGGGAGTGTTTCCCTCCACTGCTGCAAGAGGACTGTTAGCTCTCAGATCATTTGTAAGGATGCTCCCCGGGATAACCAGGTCTTGAGTTAGTTCAAAACCATTAGAGAGTAAACATTTTATATTGGCAACTTCCGAGATAGCTAAGTATTATGGTTCTGAAATAAAATAACTCTATCCCAGGTGGTTATACATGGTCAGATTTGGAGGCTGTAAAATACCAACAAGTGTTGAAGGAGAGTCACATCCTTCTGCAGTAACGGTTATTAAGGGGGTATAATCATGCTTTTTTTTTTTTCTGTGTGTGGTTTCCAGTGTGGTTGGGAAATAAACATATTTAAAATATAAGTTTCTGGCTTTGATAACTCATTGGAATTTGGGGCGCGCACACACACACACACCACATTATTCATCATAAGGGTTATATGTTAGCCGCTTTCAGAAAGTGACGAAGAATTATTTTTATCTACTAAGAAACTGACCCAAGGGCTTTTGGTGGGCGTTTGATCTCTTAACCAAAGGGGAAAAACAACATGATTTCGTTTTCTCTAAAGCATCCTTTTAAGGAGACATTAAGTTGGCAGCAGCACTGGGAAGTAACTGACAGGTTGGGTGGATCCAGGCAAGTAAATCATGTTGGGCCTCAATTTTGTCATAGAATAAAACTGGAGTAGAGAAAGCACGTGAAAAAAACAAGCAAACTCTCACATACAAAAGGACCCAGGTTGGGCTGGGTGCGGTGGCGGAGGCCTGTAATGCCAGCACTTTGGGAGGCCAAGGCAGGTGAATCACTTGAGGTCAGGAGTTTGAGACCAGCCTGGCCAACATGGGGAACCCCCGTCCTTACTAAAAATACAAAAATTAACCGGGTGTGGTGGTGTGCATCTGTAGTCCCAGCACTTTGGGAGGCTGAGGTGGGTGGATCGTCTGAGGTGAGGAGTTCAAGACCAACCTGGCCAACATGGCAAAACCCATCTCTACTAAAAATACAAAAATTAGCTGGGTGTGGTGGTGGGCGCCTGTAATCCCAGCTACTCAGGAGGAGGCTGAGGCAGGAGAGCTGCTTGAACCCAGGAGGCAGAGGTTGCAGTGAGCCGAGATCTCGCCATTGCACTCCAGCCTGGGCAACAAGAGTGAAACTCTGTCTCAAAAAAACAAAAAAAATAACAAAAAAACCCACACTCTGGTGGTTCATTTTGACACAAGTAAAAAATGTTTGAAGATGACCAGAAGCCTGATTAAAATTAACCTGCTAATTAATAATGACTATCATTCAGAAGAGTCCTTGAAGGGTTTACAAATATTTCTAAACAAATTTCTGTATTTATTTTTATTTTAGCTAACGTGCCACATTAGTGTGTAGGGTGTTAGTCTTTAAAGAGTTTAAATATAGATTTTTAAAATTAGAAAATAAATATGTGCTTGTCATAGCAAATCTGAAAATTCAGATGAGCATATGGAAAAAATTAATGCTCCCATTACCCAGGCCAACCACAGTTAACCTTTTAGAAGTTTCCTTGGTTATTTCACCATGCAGCAAGGTATACTTACCAACATGTGATCATTTGTTATATATACATTTGTATACACAGATTAAATGCGGAGGGGCAGTTCTGATACCAGCTCATGTTAGAAATTTTAGAAATATAGGATAGTGGAAAGAAAATAAAAACTCACCAGGCGTGGTGGCTCATGCCTGTAATCCCAGCACTTTGGATGGCTGAGGTGGGAGGAGGCTTGAGCTCAGGGGTTCGAGAAAAGCTTAGGCAACATAGTGAGACACCTGTCATCCCAGCACTTTAGGAGGCCGAAGCAGGTGGATCACCTGAGGTCAGGAGTTCGAGACCAGCCTGGCCAACATGGTGAAACCCCGTCTCTACTAAAAATACAAAAATTAGCCGGGCGTGGTGGCGCACCATTGCACTCCAGCCTAGGCAACAAGAGTGCGAAACTCCGTCTCAAGAAAAAAAAAATCTATGGAATGAAAAAAAAATCACCCAGAACTGCACCTTCCAGAGAGAACTGTTGCTCACATGTTGGTATTGGTGTATTTTCTAATATCGTGTTTCTAAGGGGAAAAAGTTGAGTACGCACTGCACCTTCTGGTTTTTCAGCTTGGTTACCTGGGCTGATGATAGCTGCCCCTGAGGGCTCTACGGGTTCCCCACCCTGCTTAAGAAAGAAAGAAACAAAACTCTGGTGACTTCAGTCAGTCAATGTATGCTTTACAAGATGTAGAAAATGTTGGTGAGGTATGTTTTATTATTATTATTATTATTATTTTGCTAGCATTTTTTTGAGATGGAGTCTTGCTCTGTCACCCAGGCTGGAATGCAGTGGTGCAGTCTCAGCTCACTGCAATCTTTGCCTCCCGGGTTCAAGCAATTCTCTGCCTCAGCCTCCCGAGTAGCTCAGATTATAGGTGCCCATCACCACGCCTGGCTAATTTTTGTATTTTTAGTAGAGATGGAGTTTTGCCATGTTGGCCATGCTGGTCTTGAACTCCTGGCCTCAAGTGATCTGCCCACCTTGGCCTCCCAAAGTCCTGGGATTACAGGTGTGAGCCACCACACCTGGCCATTTGCTAGCTTATTTTAATGCTTACTCCCTCACTCCCTATCCCTTCTGATTAATGAGAAATTTAAACATTGCAAACATGTCTGTCTTATGATTAAAAAAGGGGAGCGGGGAGAAATGAACTTTAATGTTTATTTGCTTAAACACACTAAAAGCAGAAAAGGAGAGGGACTAACACCTGACCTAATGTCAGGAGGGCTCCTTTGGCTACCTAAGTGGCCAAGGCACAAACAGAGAGATGACCCAGCTGGCTTCTGGTCCCTTCCACCAAGCAACAAACAGCATGTTCTCCACCAATGCTATGGCTCTTAGAACTCAGAGGGAAGAAGAATCCACTCAGTCCCGACTGGCCTGATCCTAAACCTGCCCCATTCAGAACCCTGCCGTGCCCCTCACATGCAAAGGAAGGTTAGTGCAGAGAAAATACTCTTTGAAGGCTTTTGTGAAGTCTTGTAAGATACGGCTTTCCCTGCAGTGCACCGCAGGTAGAAAGTTGCTCTATTCTGCAGTACAGATTTTAAAGTTAATGATAAACATAGTCTCAAATTATTTATTTTATTTAATTTAATTTTTTGAGATGGAGTTTCGCTCTGTTGTCCAGGCTGGAGTGCAGTGGTGTGATCTTGGCTCACTGCAACCTCCGCCTCCCGGGTTCAAGCGATTCTCCTGCCTCAGCCTCCGAGTAGCTGGGATTACAGGCGCCCACCACAACCAGCTAATTTTTGTATTTTTGGTAGAGACGGGGTTTTACCATGTTGGCCAGGCTGGTCTTGAACTCCTGACCTCAGGTGATCCGCCCACCTTGGCCTCCCAAAGTGCTGGAATTACAGGCATGAGTCACCGACCCTGGCCTCAAATTATCTTTTATTCAGCCACACTAGCTATTAGCCCAGATAGCTTTAGAATCAATCATTTACCTGGAAGAGGATCTCCAGTGCTATCTGGAAAGCCATTTTCTTCTCCCTAAAAACCAAAAAGCAACCTTCATTAAAATCATATCCAAATGTGAATGGAGATATTATCAATCTTCCAACTTAGTTAAATTTCCACCAAAACCCTGGGGGCTGGGGTGGGTGGAGGGACTGGATCTTGAGAATGGCATTTTAATGGGAGGTGAACTCAGCATCTCCCTCTAGAATACGAGCACCTTGAGCGCAGGGGCTTTTGTTTATTTGCTCCCTGTGCTGTCCCAGTGCCCAGAACAGTGCTTGATACACAGCAGACACTCAAATTTGCTAAATGCACTAATGTCCCTATTTTTAAAAATTATCAGCTGGGCACCATAGTTCGTGCCTGCAGCCCCAGCTACTTGGGTGGCTGAGATGGGAAGATTGCTTGAGCCCAGAAGCTGGAGGCTGCAGTGAGCTATGATTGAGACACTGTACTTCGGCCTGAAAGACAGCGCAAGATCTCAAAGAAAAAAAAAAAAGGGTATCAATGCATGCAACAATGTGCTATTTTTATTTTACATTATGGGTTATCTTCCTTATTTTATTTCTTATCTGCTTTTTGTCTGTCAGGGCTTGTTGTCTGTCAATCCAGGTTACAATTCTTTCCCTTTTCTATTTATTTCAGTATATATCGCAAAGCAGCTAAAACCAACTATGAAAAAGTGGCGTCCAAATCTCTTGAGAGGCAATCATGCTTCTGCCCTTCTGATTAGGGCTCCATTTTTACAATCAGGATCATGCTACAGGGATGTGAGGGATTTTTTCTGATCTTGGACAGGTGTGTGTATGTGTGTGTGTGTGTGTGTGTGTGTGTGTGCGCGTGTGTGTGCTTCCCATGAAGTCAGCAGAGGAGACCAGTCCCAGTACACCTTCGTTTATGTTAACTCCATCTTTCTAAAACCAAAATCTTTCTCATCAGCTAATGTCACCCCCCACCCCACCCCCACCCACAGTACTGAAGAAGCACAAGAGGCGAGTCAGAAGCCCTGGGCTTTAGAACCTCAGGCACGGTGCCAATGCGGGTCTCAGATTCCCCGTTTGTGTGTTGAGGTGGCTGTGGGATTAGCTCAGCTCTAAAGTGCCTCTATTTTCTCGGGTCTGAGAGTCTCACCTGTAAAGATGTGCTAACTCCGTCCTGGTGTCAATGTGTGTTTTTTTTTTGTTTTTTTGTTTTTTTTGAGACGGAGTCTTGCTCTGTCGCCCAGGCTGGAGTGCAGTGGCACAATCTCGGCTCACTGCATCTCCGCCTCCTGGGTTCACGCCATTCTCCTGCCTCAGCCTCCCAAGTAGCTGGGACTACAGCCACCCGCCACCACGCCTGGCTAATTTTTGTATTTTTAGCAGAGACAGGGTTTCACCATGTTGGCCGGGATGGTCTCGAACTCCTGACCTCATGATCCGCCCACCTTGGCCTCCCAAAGTGTTGGGATTACAGGTGTGAGCCACAGTGCCCAGCATGTTTTAAACATTTTTAAACAATCTTTCTCTCTTAATCTTCTCAGAGAAGCCTTTCTCCTCATCCCAAGCTCACCCATCGCCATGTCTCAGCAGTGTACATACCTTCACCTAACCACAAGCCTAGATTTTTTGTTTTGTTTTGTTTTCACACAGGCACATTCCCATGTGTTACCAGCTAGACTTTTCTCCTAAGTAATCTAAATATTTCTATCTTTACTGGAACTAAAAACCAACCTGCTTACCATAATTCATACAATTTCTTTTCATTTAGTTGAAGTTTTACCTTCTTCTCACATTTCCCTTACTCAGGAGTGTGTGAGTGTGAGTGTGTGTGTGTGTGTGTGTTTATCAGAGAGAGAGAGTGAGAGAGAAAGAGAGAAACAGATGAAGGACAGAGACAGAAAGAGAGAATTATAGTGAGTCTCTGAACGGATAGAAATCTCTCTCTATGCAACCTTTAGCTTTTTTCAAGGCTAACCCCAGAAGCCCCATGACTTTAGGGACACTAGTCATTACTCCGCAGGTCATGTGGAGACCCGCCTGTTTGCATCTGCAACACTCCTGCAGGATCGGGCAGGTATGTGGGCTCTTTTACCAACACAGTCACCGTTCTGCTCACTGAATTGGAAACCTGGGCTGAGGAAACAGAAACAGGAACTTCAGGTACTGTCGAGAGATACAAATGTTAGAACTTGACAGATTTTGTGGTATTTGAGGTTCCTGCTAAAACATGAACCTGACTCTAAGTAGAAACTATGTTACTTGGCATATTTGACTTGATTTCTCATAATCTGGAGGAAATTTTACCAAGGTCAATGTCTGGCCAGAATCATCCCCGTGATGCAGACAGGGAAATACGAATTACTTGTGAAAGTTGATAAAGATAGAATTTAGATTAATATGCATGATGTTTGTTCTTAGCTCTGATTATCAGGTTGTGCTATGTTGTGGGTTTGTTTTCTAAGGGTGAAATAGGAAAACCACTGATTTTTGTGGGTTTCATAGTCTTAATGAAAGCATACACATGCCTTTATTCAACACCGATTTATTGAGCAGCTAATATGTAAAAACCCCCATATTGCAATGCATAGACAAAGATAAAATGACCTGAACCCTTGACCTCAAGATATGCTGGGAAATGGAGACCACTTAAACAACGAAAATGCAAGGCACAAGATAGTGACTTCCAAGAGAGGGGTACAGATGAAGTCAGAGAGGACAGGTGTCTTCTTATGAAAAAAATCAGAGGCAGTTTCTTGGAGACAGACATGTTTGAGATGGACCCTGCTGAAATCTGGGCAGTGGGGACTTGGGAGGAAGGAGCATTTAGTCTTAAGCAAAGGCAATGGGAGGGGCAAGAGGGAGATGATTCAGAAATCGGGCTGGAAGTTAAGAAAAACAAACAAAACGAAAAGAAGGAGATGAGACAGGTGAATACACTGGGGCCTGTCCAAGGAGCTGGACGTCATTCCGGACAACAGGGAGTCACTGAGGGGCTCTCGCCTGAAGCAGGGTATCCTCAGGGGGTGTCTAAGACCAGCACAGGAAATACCCACCTGGCTACAGTGTAGGACGCATGGGGGAACAGGACATGTGGAGGTGATGGACAGAGAAGGGGGAAGAATGACATAAGCAAGGATTAATGAGACTCCGCATCACTCCTCTAGGAGAGAAGGGGATGAAGTGAGAGCCGCTGTAGAGATGCGATCACTGGGGAAAACAGGAAAGGAGGTGAAATGCAGAGCAAGCTGTGAAGAGGTGACGGAGAAGACAACAAGGGCAGGCTCACACACAACAAGCTTGAGATGCCCCCAGGAGCTGAATGCATGGTCCTGGTCCCTGGGAGAGGCCAGGGCAGGAGATGAAAATAAGGATGTCAAAGTGATTATGAAAGAAATGACTGGAAGTGAAGAGACAGCTGTAAGGTCACAACCTTGAGAAGGACCTGAGAAGGACACTTCAGTGGCAGAGGAAGGAACGAAAGGACAGCAGAGAAAGGAGGTCAGAGAGGGGAAGAAAAGCAGGGGGAGCAGTGTCAAAAGTTGCAGCAAATGGCCAGGCACGGTGGCTCATGCCTGTAATTCCAGCATTTTGGGAGGCCGAGGCGGGCCAATCGCCCGAGGTCAGGAGTTTGAGAGAAGCCTGGCCAACATGGCAAAACCCCGGCTCTACTAAAAACACAAAAATTAGCTGGATGTGGTGGTGAGCGCCTGTGTTCCTAGCTACTCAGGAGGGTGAGGCAGGAGAATCACCTGAACCCGGGAGGCGGAGGTTGCATTGAGCCGAGATCACACCACTGCACTCCAGCCTGAGCGACAGAGCGAGATTCTGTCTCAAAAAAAAAAAAAAAAAAAAAAAAAAAGTTGCAGCAAGGACCACGCATGGTGGCTTGTGCCTGTAATCTCAGCACTTTGGGAGGCTGTGGCAAGAGGATCTTGAGCCCAGGAGTTCAAGGTTGCAGTGAGCTATCATTGAACCACTGCACTCCAGCCCGGGTGACAGAGCGAGACTCCATCTCCAAAAAAAAAAAAATAATACTTGCAGAAAGGTGATGGGCTCTGAGCACCAAGTGAAGACAAGATTTGGTGAGGAGTAGACGAGCAGCGATTTTGAAAGCCGTTCTAGCCGGGTGGTGGCCGGCTGATACCAGGTGGGCAGTGAGGCCATGGAGATGGCTGAAGAACACGCGTGTGGTTGTGTAGGCCTGAAATGCCACCCTCCCCAGCCCTTTCATCTGCTTACTTTCTCTTATCTGTAGGGCCTCAGCTTAGACATCACTTCTGCTAGGACACCTTCTCCAAACCCCCGGTCTGGGTTCTGTGCCCTGGGTGTTCCCCAGGCACCCTGTCCGTGCACCCCACAGGATGCCTGTTCCACTGGGCCTGGAGTGTATTCAAGGAGCAAGGGATGGACCTTGATGATGAAAAGACACCATTTCTTTGGAGATGGGACAAAGAGGGAGAAAAACGGGGGCAAATCTGGAGAAGCCTGAAGGGAGGTGAGATATCCGTTGGCCCAGCCTCCATGTCAGGGCCTAGGAAGCAGAAATGGGGAATGGGGAGTTACCGTTCAATGGGTACAGAATTTCAGTTTGGGAAGACAGAGAAGTTCTGGAGGTGAATGGTGGTGACGGTCGCACAACACCGCGAATATACTTAATGCCACTGAACTGTGCACTTAAAAGTGGTTAAAATGGGCCCGGCACAGTGGCGCACGCCTGTAATCCCAGCACTGGGGAGGCGAGGCGGGCTGATCACCTGAGGTCGGGAGTTCGAGACCAACCTGGCTAACATGGTGAAACCCCGCATCTACTAAAAATACAAAATTAGCCGGGCGTGGTGGTGTGCACCTGTAATCCCAGCTACTCGGAAGGCTGAGGCAGGAGAATCACTTGGACCTAGGAGGCGGAGGTTGCAGTGAACCAAGATCTCGCCACTGCACTCCAGCCTGGATGACAGAGTTAAAAAAGGTTAAAATCGTAACTTTTATGTTATGTGTATTTTACCACAATAAAAAAATGTTTAAAATGTGTTCTCTCAAACGATGTGGGCAGTAGGGAAGGCAACACGCTCGACATGTTCTGTAGAGCCCCGTGCCAGAGTGACACGATACAAACACTATTCCGAGGATAGCAGAGAAATGCCGTGTGAATAACATTTATGAAACAGGAGAGATGGAAAAAATGCAGCATCTCTAAATTAGATTAATCTATGATTTTAAATGTGTGTGTAAATTAATGTAATAACTTAAATCATATAGGTATGCATTTGCATAATCTGTCTACCTTCCTAAAACTTGATGTTAATTTTTCTTAACACTGGCTGGGAAGAACTTCTCATTTATTTAATTGGCGAGGTGTGAGGCCTGGACATGGGTTGTTTCAAACATCTCCTTAAGAACTGTTAAGGTACTGCAGAGTGGAACACCTATGTTTTATATTCAAGTAAACTAAAGAAAACCCCCATTTTGTAAAACTTTCTCATTGTGAGTACAAGGGAATTATCTTATATTTGGGCAAAATGTATTAACTGCTGCCAAGAATTCTTTGAACAGAAAGTCGGCTAAGTTGCATGAATTTCACACCTTGGTTAGTTTATAAACTGACAGTCAAGTCCCATTTCTGCTCAGGGAGCTGAAAGCTCTGGGTACTAAGGAACAGTTGCCTCTGAAGATTTACACCTGAGATTTAATATCAGGCTGCAAGCAGCAGAAACCCCAGGGCACACCCTGGGAAAAGCTCTCAGCTCCGAGCTGAATGTGCAGCCCACGGGGGAATGGACTGATGTGACGGGAGACACGGATAGATTGATGGAGAAGTCAAATAAAAATGAGGAGAGGCCACTGATTTGGACTGAGCTCCTGCACCGAGACCCCAATAGACCAACCCAAAATGGAGTCACTCACACCAGGGTTCCACATCACCAACCCAAAACCTCAGCTGTGTACTCATAAGATCTGATCTTCTGATATCAGGAGAGAGAAATAATAGCTGAATCTCCAAACTGGCCCGTTTTCCCCAAAAGACCCAAACCAAACCAAAACAAAAAAAACTAGGAGATTCACAGCAACCAATCCAAAGGGGCCCAGTCAACCTGAGCTGACATGCTAGGGAAGTCCCCTTTGCTTTAACCCATAGAAGGAAAGTCACCCGAAGTCCCCTGATGTTAACCAATCCACTCTTGGCACGGTGCTTTTTCCTTGTTCCTGCTCAAGCCACCTTCCAAAAACCAACTGTCCTGCAGTGCCCAGCAGAAACCCTGTCTATTTTGTAGACTATGGTGCCTGGTTCATGAATTGTTATTAAAAGCCAATTAGATCTTTAAAACTCAGTACGTTGAAACCTTGTTCTCTGACAGCCCCCACTGGTCCCTTAGGGGCTAGTTTAATGTGAAACATGCTCTTCAGGACGTTTAGTTTGGTCTTGAAATGTCTATGCTTAGCCAACTCATGAAGAGTTCATCTTTGCTACTTTGCAAACTATGGGGAGGATAACCGAATGGGAAAGCATGCCCCAGGCTGGTTCACCTGTTATGACCAAAGTTTGGTTGGAAACCACCACGAACACCAAGACCAAGTTGTCACTGTTCATCTGGTGTGGCAAACTAAATTATAGGCAGAGAACCTGAGAAGAAACGCTCCCCACGCTTATGACTTCTACACCTGAGGTTCCAGTTTAGCTCAATTACTTAACTAGCTTCTTTGGAATCACATTACCTGCTTTCAAGTTATACTGCAGAGCTATACCAACCAGCATGGTAGTAGCATAAAACCAAACACTTAGACCAATGGGACAGAATAGAGAACCAGAAGCAAACCCACACACCTACAGGGAACTCATTTTTGACGAAGGTGCCAAGAGCATACACTGGTGAAAAAGACAGTCTCTTCAATAAATGGTGCTGGGAAAACTGGATATCCATATGCAAAAGAATGAAACTAGACCCCTATCTCCATATACAAAAATCAAATCAAAATCAATGGAAGACTTAAATCTAAGACCTCAAACTATGAAACTACTACAAGAATAACAATGCTAAAGTTTGATCTCTCTGCTTGCAGAAAATATTTCAGTACCTGGCCTTGAAAATATGATTTTAAATGCCTAAGTGTGTGATGGTAATAGGATTCACAGCATATGGATTTAGACCGTTCAAAACTTTTTCAGGCTGGGCACGGTGGCTCATGCCTGTAATCCCAGCACTTTGGGAGGCTGAGGTGGGCAGATCACCTGAGGTCAGGAGTTCAAGACCATCCTGGCCAACACGATGAAACCCCGTCTTTACTAAAAATACAAAAATTAGCCGGGCATGGTGGCAGGTGCCTGTAATCGCAGCTATTCTGGAGGCTGAGGCAGGAGAATCGCTTGAACCAGGCGGCAGAGGTTGTAGTGAGCCAAGATCGCGCCAGTGGACTCCAGCTTGGGTGACAGAGCAAGACTACGTCTCAAAAAAATACAAAAAAAAAACCCCACAAAACTTTCTCATGTCACACAGTCAGTGATAGTCAATCAATTTTCAGGGGTAAGAATTCCCAAGACAAAGCTGGTATCTGTGTAACTCTTTGGAACACATTTACTGATGATCCATGTCTAAACGTTAGTACCAGACTGTGAATCTCCTGTTGGGTTTTTCTAAAAAGCCTGTTTAAACTCAGTTCTTTTTCTGCAAAATAATTACTATTACTGTAATAACTTCACACTTATTTTTACTTTTTCTTACAATATAAGTCCGTATAAAAATGTGGACATATATCTATTATTTGACAGTATACTCCAGAAACTGGCTTTTAGAAATGTATTTGGCCAGGGAATGGTGGCTCATTCCTGTAATCTCAACAGTTTGGGAGGCCAAGGTGGGTGGATTGTCTGAGCCCAGAAGTTCAAAACCAGCCGGGGCAACGTAGTGAGATCCCCCAATCTCTACAAAAAATATACAAAAATGAGGTGTTGTGGTGAGCGCCTGTAGTCCTAGCTATGTGGGAGGCTGAGGTGGGAGGATTGCTTAAGCCCAGGAGATTGAGGCTGTAGTAAGCTGAGATCATGTCATTACACTCCAGCCTGGGTGACAGAGTGGGACCCTGTCTCAAAAAAAAAAAAAAAGAAAAGAAAAAGAAGAAATGTATTTATTTGATTTGGGATACATTTATTAAGTACTTACTGCCCAGTGTAAGAATCCATTCTAGGCTCTGGGATATAGAGACAAAAATCTGTTGCTTCAAGATTATAATCCAGTAATGGAATGAAGACATATGCATAAATATTGACATCATAAGGAACCACGTGTTACAAAGCACAGACAGAAGAGGAAGGCAACCCAGAGGTGGGCAAGAATTCAAGTGAGACCTCAGGGAATGAGGAGCATTTCATTAAGGATAAAAGAGCTAAGGCCGGTGCGCCTGTAATCCCAGCACTTTGGGATGCTGAGGCGGGTGGATCACCTAAGGCCAGGAGTTTGAGACCAGTCTGGCTAACATGGTGAAACCCCGTCTCTACTAAAAATACAAAAAATTGGCTGGGTGTGGCGGTGGGAGCCTGTAACCCCAGCTACTCAGGAGGCTGAGGCAGGAGAATCACTTGAACCTGGGAGGCAGAGGTTGCAGTGAGCCGAGATGGCACCATTGCTCCAGGCTGGGTGACAAGAATGAAACTCCATCTCAAAAAAAAAAAAAAAAAAAAGAGCTAAATAAGAAGAGTGAAAATATAAAATAAATGCTACAGTGCTTTGCTCGGATTACAGCAAACCTGTGGGTTTCTTGACCTGTAGATCTTTCTTCTCTACAATGAGTTTTCTATCCAATTACAAGGAAGACCTGCTTCTTCTGGAGTTGAGTTGAAGTGAGGGTCAAAGACATAACCGTTCCAGGACTTTGAGGCCAGGCATGCTCAGGTGTAATTTCATACCTTTGCTATGGTTTCAAAGATGAAAGATACAGGGGTTTTGCCTTTGTGTAGGATGTAGAGTTTATTATTATTCAGAAATATCACAGAGTATTTTACAGGAGATTATGGTTTGTACATGCAAATACAAGTAGAGCACGGGGCTATGGATATTACAGACAGGCAGGGAGTTTTTGCACCTGTCTATTTCATTCACAAATCCCAGGCTGTAGGACAGAAGTAATGCTAGAACACGGGCAAAAGGAAGGCTGAATGCTGAGGAAATGCATCCACAGACACCCCGGTTCAGTCTCTAATTTTCCTCGGGTGCACAATTGTGTGCTAGCTGACTGCACAGAAAGACCATTTGGCTTCATCTGTCATATATGAAAAGTTTACTGAGTCTAAATACCATCTAAAGTTTTGGATGATTTACTCTATTATTTTTTCTTTGATTTGAAAAAATACCGGCTGGGGGCGGTGGCTCACGGCTGTAATCCCAGCATTTTGGGAGGCTGAAGCAGGCAGATCGCCTGAGCTCAGGAGTTCAAACCAGCCTAACCAACACGGTGAAACCCATCTCTACTAAAAATACAAAAAGTAGCTGGGCGTAATGGCAGGGGCCTGTAATCCCAGCTACTCGGGAGGCTGAGACAGGAGAATCTCTTGAACCTGGGAAGTGAAGGTTGCAGTGAGCTGGGACTGGGCCATCGCATTCCAGCCTGGGCAACAAGAGTGAAACTCCGTCTCAAAAAAAAAAAAAAAAAAAGAAAAAGAAAAAATACCAAAAACACACAAAAGTAAAAATTACTGAAAATCATGCTGTTTTCTTAAAAAATCAAAAAGAGATGGGAAAATCTTTTTCTCTCAATCTATTATTACGTCTCTCAATCCCATCTCACTCCCCACATGTTACTGGTTACAATCTAGGTACTTCCTTCCTGATTCCTTAGTCATGGCCATGTTCACACCTATATAGAAATATTTTTTTAGCCCCAAATCATATTGATCTACAACTTGCTTTATCTGTTTAACAATACATCAGATAAGTTTTTTAAGGCCAGGACTCTCTCTTCTTTTTAATGGTTTAATGATACCCCACAGCACTGATGCACCATAATTTATTCAACCAGTTCCTGCCAACGGGCATGGGAGTTACCCGCAGCTCTTCTCTATTTTGAATGCCGCACTGTGAACCTTGCACCATGTAATGAGTTCTGTAGGATCAAGTCCTTAAAGTGAGATTGCTAGACAGGAGTGTGAATGGGTACTCCCAATTAATTTTCCATAAAGTTGTATCAATTTACACTCTCAACTATGTGTGAGAGCTGCACCCTGACACCCACACCATCCGAATGTCTCAGTGAAATTCTAACCTTCTTGTGAAGTTCAAAGGCATTGCAGCCAGCAGAGCACTGCATGGTAATGAGAAGAGAAGCCATTGAGTCAAACAATTAGAGCTGATAAAGAACTGTCCAGTTTCATTATTAATAAACTTCTCTCCCGCTCTTCTTGGGGAAATAACTACTAAGTGCTAAAAAGCAAGCATTTTTGCCCTTTGGCCTGATTTTTTTTTTTTTTTTTTTTGGTGGGGGACAGAGTCTTGCTCTGTCACCCAGGCTGGAGTGCAGTGGTGCGATCTTGGCTCACTGCAGCCTCCGCCTCCTGGGTTCAAGCGATTTTCCTGCCTCAGCCTCCTGAGTAGTTGAGATTACAGGCATGCACCACTACACCCGGCTAATTTTTGTATTTTTAGTAGAGGCAGGGTTTCACCATGTTGGCCAGGATGGTCTCTATCTCCTGACCTCTTCGTCCGCCCCCCTCAGCCTCCCAAAGTGCTGGGATTACAGGTGTGAGCCACTGCGCCTGGCCTTTTTTTATTTTATGTTTTTTAGAGAGAAAGAATCTGCCTCTGTTGCCCAGGCTGGAGTTCAGTGGCACGATCTTGGCTCACTATGACCTCCGCCTCCAGAGCTCAAGCCATCCTCCCACCTCAGTCTCCCGAGTAGCTGCGACTACAGGCATGCACCACAATGCCCAGGTATTTTTTGTATTTTTGTAGAGATGTTGTTTCACCCTGTTGCCCAGGCTGGTCTCAAACTCCTGGGCTCAAGTGATCTGCCTGCCCCAGCCTCCCAAAGTGCTGGGATTACAGGCGTGAGCCCCCGTGCCCGGTAAACTTGAATATGTTTTACCACAGATATTTTATTTTGTCTAGGTCTAAAAGCAGAAACAAGTCAAAGCCCATAGGTATTAACAGACCACATCAAATCAGAGTACTATGGCTTTTCTTTTTTTAAAAAATATCATTTTTGGGAGACTTCACTATAGAAAAAAAGTACTCAAGGCCTTGAAATGAGGGCGGAGGTTGGGTAGCAGGAACTGGCAGTGGGAAAAATGAGAACAACAGTTGACATTTCATGATTTTTTTCCAGCAATCAAAAACATAGAATGCAGGTGGTCCTGGTTCACCTAAGCCCCGGGCTTGGCAAGGCAGGTCCCATTGAAAATCACCAAGAGCATCACCAAAATGCTTGACCAGGGCATGACGCTGGGTCAGTGAGGCCACAGGACGGCTGCAGGGCCGGGGTTCAAGGTCAAGAACTACATCAGCATCTCTTCACCAGCTCTACAGGGATGAGTTGGGAGCGTGACAGCGAAACACAGGTGCAGAGGGAGTGAGGGGGAGGGGGGAGGGGAAGAAAGAAAAGAGGGTCAGAGAGGGAACTTCAGAGTCGCGGGTAGAGGGTTTGTTCCCAGCGGTGACATGATCTGAGGCGTGGCCATTCCTGTGGTGGCAGAGGCACACGCAGGAGGAAGGTCATGGCAAGGTCACAGTCTGGGATAAAGTTCAGTCTAGAGAAAGTGAGATGTCACAGGCCGAGGAAGGGAAATACCAATGGGAGGTAGAATCAGATCATTATCTGTTTTGGACAAAATTGTCTACAGTTATCTACAGATGGAAAGAGAAGTTCTATGGCTTTTAAGGCACCAGCCAAGTTCTCCTGGCATTACCCATTTATTTTTAACTTTCTAGCGGTCAGTGAGTTATTCCAACACAGGACCCTCCATCCCCTTACTAGAGGTGAGTGAGCGGCCAGCTCTGCAGACTGCTGGGAAGGTAGGTAAATGAAGAACAGAGGAATCAGGGAGATGGAGGAGTGTGAGGCCAAGGGAGATCCGCGATGCTTCCGTTCACAGAAGAGAACAAGTGATTTCTCGCTTGATTTGAACTCAGGAGACGGAGACTGCAGTAAGCAGAGATCGCGCCACTGCACGCCAGCCTGGGCGACAGAGTGAGACTCTTAAAAAAGGAACAGGCACCTGGGCGCGGTGGCTCACGCCTATAATCCCTGTACTTTGGGAGGCCGAGGCGGGCGGATTACAAGGTCAGCAGATCGAGACCATCCTGGCTAAAATGGTGAAACTCCATCTCTACTAAAAATACAAAAGATGAGCCAGACGTGGTGGCGGGCGCCTGTAGTCCCAGCTATTCAGGAGGCTGAGGCAGGAGAATGGCGTGAACCCGGGAGGCAGAGGTTGCAGTGAGCAAAGATCGCGCAACTGCTCTCCAGCCTGGGTGACAGAGCGAGACTCCGTCTCAAAAAAAAAGAACAGGCGATTTCTATTCCAGTGCAACCGACCCCTTGAGATTTCCTCTCCCTTCTTTTAATGTCCAGACAGCTCTGCAACAGGAACCCTTTCACCGCTTGTTTTGAGAACCTGCCGTTGGTTTGGACTGGAATGCAATAGCTGCAAGGCTGAATTAAGTGAGTCCCTCTCAACAATGTTAAAAATACCAAGTATGTGCTCTAGGCAGTTTTATAGTTTCATGTAATAGCCCTGGTTCCTCATTCTATAAACTTCCCATCAGGGATGAAGTAAGGAGTTACCAAGCAAACCAGAACGATCTGATTTTCCCTTAGAGGAAGGAACTAAAGGACTCTCCAGTCTATTAAACAGATCTTGTTGGAGCTTGAAGGGATTCCTGCATATCAAGAGAAGCAGGTAGGGGCCTGTCGGGCTGACACCAGATATCATCTCCAGCAAATGCTGGTCGGGTCCATTCCCTGTTATCATACTGTATGTAATGACTTCGGGTCTGCAGAGAGTCTGGTGAGCTGGTTGCCCTGCCAAGCCAATGAAGTTGTTGGATGGGATTCTGCCCACTGCCTCTCCATCCACTATTTTTTTTTTTTTTAAGACAGAGCCTTGCTCTGTCACCCAGGCTGGAGTACAGTGGCACAATCTCGGCTCACTGCAACCTCCGCCTCACGGGTTTAAGCGATTCTTCTGCTTCAGCCTCCCAAGTAGCTGGGACTACAGGCGCCCGCCACCACGCCCAGCTAATTTTTGTATTCTTAGTAGAGATGGGGTTTCACCATATTGGCCAAGCTGCTCTCGAACTCCTGACCTCATGATCTGCCCGCCTTGGCCTCCCAAAGTGCTGGGATTACAGGCGTGAGCCACCACACACGGCCTTTCCATCCAATTTAAGGAAAGGAGCAACCCTTCCATCTCCCAGTTTTGTTCCAGTAGCTTTTATCTGTACCATTCTGCCAGATGAGTATCATTCAGAACTGTGGAAAAGTCTATATCTCCCTAGATTTAGGCAAGGCAAGAGGCCCAGCAGCAGGTGGTAACAACTGCTACCAACTCAGACAAGCTGGGCATCTGGCGGGGGTGCTGGGCCAGGCCCCGGGCCAACTCTGCTACTCATCCACTGTCCCAGGTTCCCTCATCTGTAAAGCAAGGAGGCTGAACAATGTGATTTCTAAGGTTCCCTTCGGCTTTAAGATGCCAAGTTGTCAAACTGGGCAGCTAGGCCCCAGGCTCTTTCTAAATTGTCAAGACTAGCAAAGCCGAGTCATCCCCCTGCTCTAGTTCTGGATGACACCAAGCCTAGGAAATAAAGCACAATAGATGGGGCCCTGGTCTCTGAATGACAGAGTATGCATGGGGGCTAGGAGGAAGGAGGAATCCAGCTCTCTAAAAGGAAGGTGCAGGCGGTGTGTGAGGGGTCAAAGACAAAGGGGCGTGTCCCACTGAAGATACAAACTCTAGGCCGGGCACGGTGGCTCACGCCTGTAATCCCAGTACTTTGGGAGGCCAAGGCGGGCAGATCACAAGGTCAGGAGATCGAGACCATCTTGGCTAACAGGGTGAAACCCTGTCTCTACTAAAAAAACTACAAAAAGTTAGCCAGGTGTGGTAGCATACGCCTGTAGTCCCAGCTACTCAGGAGGCTGAGGCAGGAGAATTGCTTGAACCCGGGAGATGGAGGTTGCAGTGAGCCAAGATCACGCCACTGCACTCCAGCCTGGGCAACAGAGCGAGACTCTGTCTCAAAAAAGAAAAGAAAAAGAAAAAGAAAAAGATACAAACTCTGCATCCTTGGAAATAGATTTCTGTTTCCTTGATGAGGAAACAAGATAAAACTAGTCACTATGTATTGGGTGGCTACTTTAGCATCAATCATTAACTAAGATAGTTCCCCATTTATTCTGTATAACATAATGCAGAACTTAAATTTTTGAGAGACATGTTAGATATCAAAGAAATCAATTACAGTCATGTGTCCCTTAACAATGGGGATATGGTCTGAGAAATGCGTCCTTAGGTGATTTCGTTGTGTGAACATCATAGAGTGCCCTTACACAAACCTGGATGGTGTAGCCCACCACACACCTAGGCTGGGTGGTAAAGCCTATTGCTCCTGGGCTACAAACCTGTGCAGCATGTTACTGACTTGAATACTGTAGGCAACTGCAACACAATGGTAAATACATATCTAAACACAGAAGAGGCACAGTAAAAACATGGTATTAGAATCTCGGCCAGGCATGGTGGCTCATGCCTGTAATCCCACCACTTTGGGAGGCCAAGGCGGGTGGATCACAAGGTCAGGAGTTAGAGACCAACCCAGCCAATGTGTCGAAACCCCATCCCTACTAGAAATACAATAATTAACCTTGGCACGGTGGTGCGCGCCTGTAATCCCAGCTACTTGGGAGGCTGAGGCAGGAGAATCACTTGAACCTGGGAGGTGGAGGCTGAAGTGAGCTGAGACAATGTCACTGCATTCTAGCCTGGGTGACAGCGAGACTCCATCTCAAAAAAAAAAAAAAAAAAGAAAAAAAGAATCTCAAGGGACCACTGGCGTACACATGGTCTGTTGTTGACAGTAAACTTTATTATGCAGCACAAGACTGTAGTTACTGCTAGGCTTTCAACAGATAAAACAGCATCATTTCTTTTATTTGGTGGCACTTATCACTAGGAAGGGACTTTGAGTGCCTCTGGGTTGCTTAGTGGAAGAACGAACTGGCAATCAGCCTTAGGTCTAGTCTACAAATACAGACATCAGGGTAGTTGTAGGAAAGATACAACCTTATGTGGGAGTGGGGGGCAAGTACTCACATCGTGACATTCACCGAAGCAGCATTTAGAACAGTGAAATAGTTGAAACAATCTCCAAGTCCCGTAATAAACATAAAGAAACCCTTACGTAGCTATACGGCGGAGACTGTAATGGGACATCCTATAGGAGGATGTGAGATGGGATGTCTTTAGTGTCATAGGAGTTTTGATTGGGCCCAAGTGAGGACAGTGGTGTGTACATGTTCCACAGAGAGGTGCTGTTTAAACCCCAAGACCAGCTAAGGGTGGGTCAAATGTGGTGGTATGACCCTTGCCCCAAGCCCCACCTTCAGCTTATAGAAGTGTATTAGTCCATTTTCACACTGCTGTAAAGAACTGCCTGAGACTGGGTAATTTATAAAGAAAAGAGGTTTAATTGACTCAGAGTTCCACATGGCTGAGGAGGCCTCAAGAAACTTACAGTCATGGTAGAAGGTGAAGGAGAAGCAGGGCACGTCTTACATGGCAGTAAGAAAGAGAGAGAGAGAGGGGGGATCGGCCACACACTTTTAAACCATCAGATCTCGTGCAAACTCACTCACTGTCGTGAGAACAGCATGGGGATAACCACCCCCGTGATCCAATCACCTCCCACCAGCTCCCTCCTAAGACACATGGGGATTACAGTTTGAGATGAGACTTGGGTGGGGACACAGAGCCACACCATATCAATAAGAGAAAGAGATTTCTTAGAAGAAATTCACGGAAGGAGTGAAAGCTGGGGCTGCTGCCCTCCCTCTGCTCATAAGGAGAAACAGGGCTGCTCTCTGCCCCATCCAAGCCAAGTGATGAGGGCGTCAAGATCACCACTAGGGGGTGCTTATCAGCAGGGGCGGGGACCAGCCTCTCACTCCCCAGCTGGATTCTTGTGGACTGTGGGTACTCACAGGCCCAACCTTTCTGCCACTGGAAGACCTAACCTGTGGGCATGAGGAAGCAAGATGCTAGCTGGAGCCGCCCTGGATGATGGCACAGTGGGGCATGTTTTCCATGGGTCACATGCACCAGTGCCTTCTGGAAAGCACGCAGGCCTCTTACCTGCTCAGGTAAGAGGTGCAAGGTGTATTCCTGGGAGAGAAGGAGCTGGGGTTGGCTGCTGGGGGGAGGTGTAAAAATTCAGCTGGAAGTGCACTGCCCATATCAGGTAATTGTGCAGTGGCCAAATTCTCATCTCCGGGGAGGAGGGAGAGAGCCAGGTCCAACCGCCTAACTTTAAGGCCTCCAAATTTCAGATCAGGCCTGAGCTGAAGGTGAGGAAAGAAACTCTGAGCCAGGTGTGGTGGCTCACGCCTGTAATCTCAGCACTTTGGGAGGCTAAGGCAGGCAGATCACTTGAGGTTAGGAGTTCAAGACCAGCCTGGGCAACATGGCAAAACCCCATCTCTACTAAAAATACAAACATTAGCCAGACATGGTGGTGGGCACCTGTAGTCCCAGCTACTCAGGAGACTGGAGCAGGAGAATTCCTTGAACCTGGGAGGCAGAGGTTGCAGTGAGCCAAGATCATGCCACTGCATTCCAGCCTGGGCAACATAGCAAGACTCTGTTTCCAAAGAAAAAAAAAAGAAAGGAAGGAAGCTTTGAACTGGATGACAGACAAATACTCCACTGAGTTTGTTTCATGTAAATATAACGTTAACCAGATATTTATTGAGCACTTACTGTGTGCTAGGAGATCAGTATTAAGATGTCCATTTTACCGAGGAGAAAGCTGACTGAGAGGGATTGGGAACCAGCTCCAGGTGACACAGCAAAGTAGCAAAGCTAGGGACTGAGAAGGTCCATCTAGCTCCAGAGGCCATGGCGATAGAATCAAGATAGTAGATTCTATCATCATGTTTCCAGTCATACAGTATTGAGTAGCAGAGTCAAGACTTGCATTGTGTACCCCTGGGAGAGGAAGAACTGGGGTTGGCTGCTGGGGATAGGCGCAAAAATTCAGCTGGGCGTGCACTGCCCATATGAGGTAATTGTGCAGTGGCCATGGTGATAGAATCCAGAGGGTAGAGTCAAGATAGTAGTATCAGTACTCAGTACTGTATGACCTTAAACAAATATTTAACCACTCTGGATCTCGATGTGTAAAGTGAGCATAATAATGGTACATTCTGCATAAGGTCATTTTGAAAACTATATGAGTTAGGCTGGATGCAGTGACTCACGCCTGTAATCTCAGCACTTTGGGAGGCCGAGGAGGGTGGCTCACCTAAGGTCCGGAGTTTGAGACCAACCTGGCCAACATGGTGAAACCCCGTCTCTACTAAAACTACATAAATTAGCTAGGTGTGGTGGCAGATGCCTGTAATCCCAGCTACTCGGGAGGCTGAGGCAGGAGAATCGCTTGAACCTGGGAGACGGAGGTTGCAGTGAGCTGAGACTGCACCACTGCACTCCAGCCTGGGCCACAGAGCAAGACTCTGTCTCAAAGAAAAAAAAAGGGGGGGTTGGGGGGAGAAGGGAAGTCCTTAGAACAGCACTTGGCCTTAAAATTTTTAATTAATAATGATTATTCATTTGATCACATCAAATTAACTCTTTATACAAAATGTTTATGATACTGTAGTAAGTGAAGAAAGCAAGACATTCCATTGTCTATACAGTGTGACTATAACTATACAAAAAAAAATTATACCCATGCAAAGGGAAAAAAGAGAAGATCATACTTCCTTCATTTTCTTTATTATTATTATTATTTTAGAGACAGAGTCTTCCTCTGTGGCCCAGGTGGGAGTGTGGTGGCACGATTATATCGATCATATGCCTAGGCTTAAGCGATCCTTCGTCCTCAGCCACCGCCACCCAAGTAGCTGGGACTACAGACTTGCACCACCACACTGGGCCCTCATCATTCATCATCTTTTAATAAGCCTATTACTTTTTTTTTTTTTTGGAGACAGAGTCTCGTTCTGTCACCCAGGCTGGAGTGCAGTGGTGTAATCTCGGCTCACTGCAACCTCCGCCTCCCGGGTTCAAGGGATTCTCATGCCTCAGCCTCCCCAGTAGCTGGGATTACAGGCGCACACCACTACACCCGGCTAATTTTTGTATTTTTAGTAGAAACGGGGTTTCGCCATGTTGGCCAGGCAGGTCTCGAACTCCTGAGCTCAGGCAATCCACCTGCCTTGGCGTCCCAAAGTGTTAGGATTACAGGCGTGAGCCACCGCGCCCAGCCGCCTATTACTTTTATAATAGAAAAGTAATCATGTAACAGAAAGAATTCTGTATCCCTAGCTTGCTGTTACTATTAACAGTTTTAAACAAATAACGAGTACCTATCACAGCTAAGGCTTTGTGATTTAGCAAAGGGTAGGTAAGCATATGCAGCCATATCCCGGATGGGAAGTAGAACAAAAGAGAATGCATAGGAAAAGATGTAAGTATAACCGATATAGCCAGAACGAATAATAAAGCAAAATGATTCATGACAGTGGAGGCTGGTCTGGAAAACTCCAGCCTTCTGCTCAGAGGAGAATGGAAACCATCAAGGTGTATGTTTTCTGATACAGATAAACACACAATACCCTGGATGCTAAGACTTATGTATTCATCCATCCATTCCATTTAATAAACGTCTACTAAGTATCAGATTTCGAGACAAATTCTGCAATATAATCATCACCAAATTATTGTGTGCTGTTACGGACTGAATTGTGTCCCCTGCAAAATCCCTATGTTGGGGTTCTGATACCCAATATCTCAGAATGTAAGCTTATTTGGACATAGGGTCTCTACAGAGGTAAGCAAGTTACTATGAGATCATTAGGGTGGGCTCTAAAATCCAATATGGCCAGTGTCCTTATAAAATCGGGACATTTGGAGACAGGCCTGAACACAGGGAGAACAGGCAGAGGTTGCGATGATGCTTCTACAAGCCAAGGAATGCCAAAAAGTGCCAGCAAACCACCAGAAGCTAAGAGAGGGGCATAGAACAGAATCTCCCTCACAGCCCTCAGGAGAGTCCAACACTGCTGGCACCTTGATCTCAGACTTCCAGCCTCCAGAACTGGGAGACCATAAATCTCTGTTGTTTGAGCCTCCGACTTTGTGGTACTTAGTTACGGCAGCCCAAGCAGACTAGACACACATGGTTATGTCAGTTGCTTCTGAAAAGGAAAAAGAAGAAATCTCTGGGCCTCTGTTTTTGTATCTGCAAAGAAATCTGAACTAAATGATACAGCTCCTTCCACTTCTAATGTCCTATAAGTCTACACAATCTCTGTATCAGAAATGCACATTGGTTAGGTGAAGACGGCATTTCCCAATGTGCGTTCCTTGGCCTAAGAAATTTGCATAGCAGGGCGGGGCAGGTCACCAGTGCTGGCACCGGAGCACCTATAGTTAGTTATTTGATTTCTTTCATCAGAGTTTTTATAGTTTTCCTCACATAGATCATATATGTATTTTGTTATATTTCAACCTAAGTCTTTTATTTTGGGGGGAGTTAATATATTAGAAATGGGGAAAGGGTTTTGGGAGTCAGGGAATATGCTCTCTCATGCTCTTCCCCAGCAGCTGGGGCTGTCATTGTGGGCCTGCCCTGACCGCCATGGTGGGGCTGACTCTAGGATCAGACCCTCCCAGGCTGCCCAATTCAACTTCAGCCCAGCAGGCCTTCCATGGCAGCCAGGAGGAGCAGCCCACATGCAGACCACATGAAGAGTTCAGCAGTGAACGTGTCTGCATTCCTCTGCCCTGTGGATGCGTGGTCTAAGCCAGCCTTCCTCACTCTGGCTGTGCTGGGAAAGCCCTAGGACATTTAAGGAAGATCAATGCTTGGAGTCTACCCCAGGCCACTTAAGCCAGAATCTCTGGGGCAGGGGCCCAGGCACTGGTACTTCATAAAAGCTCTCCGAGTGGGCCAGGCGCGGTGGCTCATGCCTGTAATCCCAGCACTTTGGGAGCCCAAGGCAGGCGGATCACCTGAGGTCAGAAGTTTGAGACCAGCCTGACCAATATGGAGAAACCCCGTCTCTACTAAAAGTACAAAATTAGCCGGGCATGGTGGCACGCAGGTGTAATCCCAGCTACTCAGGAGGCTGAGGCAGGAGAATCACTTGAACCTGGGAGGCGGAGGTTGCAGGGAGCCGAGATTGCGCCTTTGCACTCCAGCTTGGGCAACAAGAGTGAAACTGTCTCAAAAAAAAAAGAAGAAAAAAAAAAGTTCTCCAAGTAATTCCAATGTGCAGTCGAGGACCAGAACCATTGGTTTAAGCAGATCATAGATGGGTACTAATACTGTTAGTAACAAAATTTAAATCTGTTTTCTTTGGGCCACTAACTAATAGGCACTTTCCATGTTTTTTTCAAATCTATCCTTAGGGATTCTCATTACTGCCTAATGTGCTACTCATAGGGTGGCCACTTGAAGCTTGCTGACCCCTCCCGCTTAACAGGGCTGATGTTTGAAGCACTTTCTATGTGCAAAGTGATGCAGCAGGCTCAGGGATTATCCAAAAACAGCTAAGAAGGGTAGGATGGCGGGAGGACATGCAAATGAAGGGTAAGAGGTACATGTGTGACCAGCCTGGCCAATATGGCAAAACCCTGTCTCTACTAATAACACAAAATTAGCCAGGCGTGGCGGCACGTGCCTGTAATCTCAGCTACTGGGGATGCTGAGGCAGGAGAATTGCTTGAACCTGGAGGAGGAGGTTGCAGTGAGCCGAGATTGCAGCACTGCACTGAAGCCTGGGTGACAGAGTGAGACTCCATCAAGAAGAAAGAAAGAAAGAAAGAAAGGAAAGAAAGGAAAGAAAGGAAAGAAAGGAAAGAAAGAAAGAAAGAAAGAAAGAAAGAAAGAAAGAAAGAAAGAAAGAAAGAGGGAGGGAGGGAGGGAGGAAGGAAGGAAGGAAAGAGAGAGAGAGAGAGGAAGGAAGGAAGAAAGAAAAGAAAAGAAGAGGCACTGCCCAGGGTCACAGAGATTTCGCTATAGGTGCTCTGGTGCCAGCACTGGTGACCTGCCCTGCCCTGCTATGCCCCCTCCTCGCCCATTGGCTGTCAGCTCCTGATGACAGAGGTCTTGTCTTTTGTTTACCACCACATCTCAGCACTCTGAGCAGTACCTGGGACAACCTGATCAAATGTGGACACTAAATATTCACATGCGTTACAGTGCGTGCACACTTCATGCATGACATTGAGGACCAAACAGGACCAGGACAGCCTCTCTGTCCTTAAGCAACTCACAGTCTAGTGCAGGGCTCTTTCAACTTTTTGACCACAACCTACAGAAATGAAACATGTAACACTATTTTGCATAAATATACGTGTTTTTAAAAAATATATACTCAAAACCAAAAATTTACAAAAATAATTCTATTTCATGCACAGCATTTTGACACATTTTCTAATTTTTTGTATTGTATACTACTCATTTCATTGGTAGAAATGCTGGTCAAGACTTAAGAAGCTTTTATGACTTTCTCTTTTTTTTTTTCTTGAGATGGAGTGTTGCTCTGTCACCCAGGCTAGAGTGCAGTGGTGCGATCTCGGCTCACTGCAACCTCCACCTCCTGCGTTCAAGTGATTCTTCTGCCTCAGCCTCCTGAGTAGCTAGGATTACAGGTGTGCGCCACCATCCCCAGCTAAATTTTTTTTATTTTTAGTAGAGACGGGGTTTCACCATGTTGGTCAGGCTGGTCTCAAACTCCTGACCTTGTGATCCACCTGCCTCGGCCTCCTTATGACTTTCTAATCTATGTTATCGTCTAAAGTTTGAAAAATACTGAACTACAGGCAGACTGGGCGTAAGCAATCATAGCCAGGCCAAGGGCTGTACAGGAGGTCTGGGTAACAGAGGGGAGAAGGAGAAGGTCCTTAGGGACTCAAGACCTCTGTGTCTTTGTTTAAAAAATGGCAGTAGGAAGATGGCCCGCTCTTCTCTTAGAGTAAAATGGAGCTTGCATTTTTCATATAAAGCATTTCTATGTCTTTCAAAGTATAAGTGCCATGCGCTGCAGACATCAATAATGAATCACGACTTCTCACTCTCCGACAATTGACACTCCGATACTTAGACCTGCCAATCCTGAAAGCATTCTTTGTGTATGGGTGCTCACAGTGATTGGTTCCAACAGGGGTGGAACTGCTGAGAAAAAGGAAAGGCACAAAGGCAGGCAAGGGGGGAGCCTGAAGACAGAAAACCTGGGCTCCCACCTTCGTTCTTCTGGAACATGAACAGATGGTCTAACTATTCTGCATTTCTTCATCTATGAAGTGGAGGTAATATCTCACCTCCCAAGACTCTTGGAGGCATCAAATATGGGCATGCACATTTATGAAGACTGTCATGTGACTTACAACTATATTGAAAAGTTTATTAGTCACCAATTTAATCTTCTTCTTCCTCCATTTCTACCTCCTGTGACACTGGCCAGTGGCAAAGATCCCTGCTGTAGTGTGCTCCTCCTTCCTGCCTAGCTCATCCTTAGATGTAGAGGACAGTCAATAAAGAATTGATTATGGGCTGGGTGCGGTGGCTCACGCCTGTAATCCCAGCACTTTGGGAGTCCAAGACAGGCAGATCACCTAAGGTCAGATGTTCAAGACCAGCCTGGTCAACATAGTGAAACCCCATCTCTACTAAAAATGCAAAAATCAGCCGGGCGTGGTGGCACATGCCTGTAATCCCAGCTACTCGGGAGGCTGAGGCAGAAGAATCACTTGAACCTGGGAGGCGGAGGTTGCAGTGAGCTGAGATTGCACCACTGCACTCCAGCCTGGGTGACAGAGCAAGACTCTGTCTCAAAAAAAAAAAGAATTTATTATGTCCCAGCTAATGCAATAACACAAGAAAAGTAAATAAACGTTACAGTGGAGAATAAATAAAACTGTCTTTGCTTAGATGATGTGACTGTCTATGTAGAAAATCTGAAACAGTCATCAAAAAAGTAAATGATTATGGCAGAGTGGCAGGATACAAGATTAATACAAATAAGTCAATTGCTTTCCTATATATCAGCAATGAAGAAGTAGATCCTGGCATCTAAAACACAATACCATTTATAACATATTAACTCCCTCCGAGATGAAATACTTGGGTTGAAATCTAACAAAATACATATATGATCTATGTGAGGAAAACTATAAAAACTCTGATGAAAGAAATAAAAACTACAGGCATATCTCAGAATTATTGTGGGTTCAGTTTCAGACTGAAGAGGTGGGGTTGGCTGCTGGGGGCAGGTGCAAAAATTCAGCTTAGAGTGCACTGCCCATATCAGGTAATTGTGCAGTGACCATGGTGATAGAATCAACATTGTAGAGTTGGTCAGGCGCGGTGGCTCACGCCTATAATCCCAGCACTTTGGGAGACCGAGTTGGGCGGATCACCTGAGGTCAGGAGTTCAAGACCAGCCTCTGACCAACAGGGCGAAACCCCGTCTCTACTAAAAATACAAAAATTAGCCAGGCGTGGTGGCGCATGCCTGTAATCCCAGCTACTCAGAAGGCTGAGGCAGGAGAATCGCTTGAACCCTGCAGGCGGAGGTTGCAGTGAGCCGAAATTGTGCCACTGCACTCCACCCTGGGCAACAAAAGTGAAACTCCATTTCAAAAAAAAGATGGGAGAGTCAAGACAGGAGAATCAGTACTCAGTACTGTATGACCTTAAATTATTTAACCTCTCTGGATCTCGATGTGTAAAGTGGGCCTAATAATGGTACATCCTGCATAGGGTCATTTTGTAAACTATATTAGTTAATATGATTTAACTAAACATAAAATAAAATAATAATAATAATAAAACATAGTTAATAAAACAAATATAGCAATAAAGCAGGTCACATAAATTTTTGGTTTCCCAGTGCACGAAAAAGTTATATTTACACTATACTGTAGTCTAGAAATAGTATTATGTCTAAAAAAGTACGTCTTAAAAATATTTTATTGCTAAAAAATGCTAATGATCACCTGAGCCTTCAGCAAGTTGTAGTCTTTCTGCTGATGGAGGGTCTTGCCTTGATGCTGATGGCTGCTGACTGCTCAGGGTGGTGGTTGCTGAAGATTAGGGTGGAAATGGCAATTTCTTTAAAAATACAATAATAAGGTTTGCCACATCAATGGACTCTTCATTTCACAAAAGATTTCTCCGGAGCGTATGATGCTGTTTGAGAGCATCTAACCTACAGTAGATACTCTTTCCAAATTGAAGTCAATTCTCTCAAGCCCTGCCCCTGCTTCGTGCATTATTTATGTACTAAGTTTATGTACTATTCTAAGTTTATGTACTATTCTAAATTTATGTACTACTCTAAACTCTTTGTTGTCTTTTCAACAACGTTCACAGCATTTTTGCCAGGAGCAGATTCCATCACAAGAAACTACTTTCTTTGCTCATCCATAAGAAGCAACTATTGATCCATTCAAGTTTTATCATCACACTGCAGAAATCCAGCCCCATCTTCAGGCACCACTTCTAATTTTAATTCTCTTGCTATTTCTACTGTATCTGCAGTTACTTCCCCCACTGAAATCTTGAATCCCTCAACGTCATCCATGAGCGTTGGAATCAACTTCTTCCAAACTCCCGTAAATGTTGATATTTTGATCTCCTCTCATGAATCATGAATGTTCTTAATAGCATCTAGAATGGTGAATCCTTTCCAGAAGGTTTTCAACTTACTTTTCACAGAACCATCAGAGGAATCACTATTTTTAGTCTTACCAAATGTATTTCTTAAATTAGACTTGAAAGTCAAAATTATTTCTTGGTCCATGGGGTGCTGTATTAGTCCATTTTCTGTTGCTTATAACAGAATATCTGAAACGTGGCAACTTATAAAGAAAAGGAATTTATTTCTTACAGTTCTGGGGGCAAAGAAGTCCCAGGTTGAGGGGCTGCATCTGGTGAGGGCCTTCTTGCCGGTGGGGACTCTACTGAGGCAGTGCAGGGTATCTCATGGCAAAGGAACTGGGCATGCTAATATGGTAACTTCTTCTTAGGAAGCCTTCAGTTCCTTTCTCACGATAACTCATTAATCCATAAGCCCATTAATCCATGAACAGATTAATCCATTCATGATGGCAGAGCCTTCACGAACCAATCACCTCTTAAAGGCTCCACCTCTCCCAACTACTACCTTGGGGATTAAATTTCAACATGAGTTTTGGGGAGGACAAACATTCAAACCATAGCAGCTGCACTATGGATATTGTGTTAGCAGGCATGAAAACAACATTAATTTCCTTGTACATCTCCATCAAAGCTCTTGGGTGACCAGGAACATCGTCAATGAACAGTAATGTGTTGAAAGGAATCTTTTTTATTGAGCACTAGGTCTTAACAGTGGGCTTAAAATATTCAGTAAACCATGCTATAAACAGATGTGCTGTTATCCAAGCCTGGTGTTTTATTTATAGAGCACAGCACAGACAGAGTAAATTTAGCCTTATTCCAAGGGCACTATGATTTTCGGAATGGTCAATGATCATTAGCTTCAACTTAAGGTCATCGGCTGCATTAACCCTTAACAAGAGAGTTAGCCTGTCCTGTAAAGTTTGAATCCAGGAATTGACTTCTCCTCTCTAGCTAGGAAAGTCCTAGATGGCCAGGCTTGGTGGCTCATGGCCAGGCACAGTGGCTCACACCTGTAATCCCAGCACTTTGGGAGGCCAAGGCGGGAGGATCACTTGAGGTTAGGAGTTTGAGACCAGTCTGGCCAACATGGTGAGACCCTGTCTCTACTAAAAATACAAAAAATAGCTGGGCAAGGTGGTGCATGCCTGTAATCACAGCTACTTGGGAGGTGGAGGCACGAAAATCACTTGAACCCCGGAGGTGGAGGTTGCAGTGAGCTGAGATGGTGCCCCTGCACTCCAGTCTGGGTGACAGAATGAGACACGGTTTCAAAAAAAAAAAAAAGAAAGAAAGAAAGTCCTAGATGGCGTCTTCTTCCAGTGAAAGGTTGTTTCGTCTACACTGGAAATCTGTTGTTTAGTATAGCTACCTTCATCAGTTTCATCAATGATGGTAGCTACATCTTCTGGATTACTTGCTGCAGCTTCTCTATCAGCACTTACTGCTTTATCTCACACTTTTATGTTACGGAGATGACTTCGACTTCTTTCCTTAAGCTCATGAACCAACCTATGCTAGCTTCAAACTTTTCTTCTGCAGCTTCCTCAATTCTCTCAGCCTTTATAGAATTAAAGAGGGTTAGGAGGCCGGGTGCGGTGACTCACATCTGTATTCCCAACAATTTGGGAGGCCGAGACAGGTGGATTACTTGAGGTCAGGAGTTCAAGACCAGCCTGGCCAATATGGTGAAACCCTGTCTCTACTAAAAATACAAAAATTAGCCACGTGTGGTGGGCGGGAGGGGTGCCTGTAATCCTAGCTGCTCAGGAGGCTGAGTCAGGAGAATCGCTTGAACCCAGGAGGTGGAGGTTGCAGTGAGCGGAGATCGCACCATTGCACTCCAGCCTGGTCAATAGAGTGAGACTCCATCTCAAAAAATATATATATATAATATATAAATATTATATTACATATTATAAAATATATATTTACATATTTATAATATAATATATAATATTTCTTTTACTTCTTTCCTGGAAGAAGATGCCATCTAGGGCTTTCTTCTATATATATCTCATATATCTCATATATATAATACATATATTATATATAAATATATATTTATATTTATATATTTTATATTTATATACATTTATATATATTTATATATGACATTATTTATATATATATAATATATATATATAAATAAAGAGGGTTAGGGCCTTACTCTGGATTAGTCTTTGGCTTATGGGAATGTTGTGGGTAGTTTGATCTTTTATCTAGACCACTAAAACATTCTCCATATCAGCAATAAGATAAGTATAAGATAAGAATAATGGCTTTCTTATCATTTGTTTGTTCACTGGAGTAGCCCTTTTAATTTCCTTCAAAAACTTCTCTTTTGCATTCATAACTTGGCTGTTTAGCATGAGAGACCTAGCTTTCAGCCTATCTTGGCTTTTGATATGCCTTCCTCTCTAAACTTAATTATTTCTAGCTTTTGATTTGAAGTGAGAAACATGCAACTCTTCCTCACTTAAGAGCTCATTGTAGGGTTATCAACTGGCCTAGTTTCGATACTGTTGTGTCTCAGGGAATAGGAAGGCCCAAGAAGAGGGAGACAGAGGAATGGCCAGTCATTGGAGCAGTCAGAACACACACATTTATCAGTTAAGTTCACTGTCTTATATGGGTGCAGTTCATGGTGCCCCAAAACAATTACAATAGTAACATCAAGATCACGAGTCACAGATCATCATAACAAATACCAAAATATTGTGAGAATTACCAAATTGTGACACAGAGACACAAAGTGAACACATGCTGTTAGAAAAATGGCAGCAAGAGTCGCTTGACACAAGGTTGCCACAAACCTTCAATTTGTAAAAAAAAAAAAATGCAATATCTGCAAAATACAATAACATAACACACAATAAAAAGAGGCATGCCCTGTAAATGGAGAGATATTCCATGATCATAAATAGGAGGGCTCAATGTTGTCAAGGTATCAGTTCTTCCAAATTGATCTATAGATTAAATGCAATCCCAATCATAATCCCAGCAAGTTATTTTGTGAATGTCAACAAACTGATTCTAAAATTTACATGGAGGGACAAAAAGACCCAGAATAGCCAACACAACAGTGAAGGAAAAGAACAAAGTTGAAAGACTGATACTACCCAACTTTAAGACTTACTGGAAAGCTACAGTAATCAAAACAGTGTGGTATTGGCAAACAAGAGACAAATAAAAGCAAAATAGATGAATGAAACAGAATACAGAACCCAGAAATAGGACCACATAAATATAGTCTATTGATTTTTAACAAAGGAGCAAAGGCAATATAATAGTGGAAAGATAGTTTTTTCAACAAATGGTACTGGAATAACAAAAAAAAATTAGTCTAGACACACACCTTAAGCTCTCACAAAATTTAAACTCTTTAAACTCTCACAAAAATTAACTCAAAATGGGTCACAGACCTAGAAGTAAATAGAAAATTATAAAATTTTTAGAAGATAGCATAGGAGACAATCTAGTTAACCTTGGGCATGACAATGACTTTTTAGATATAGTACCAAAGGCACAATCCAAGAAAGAAATAATTGATAAACTGGACTTCATTAAAATTAAAGCTTTCTACTCTGTGAAAGACACTGTCAAAAGAATGAAAAGAAAAGACACAGACTGGAAGAAAATATTTGCAAGGGACATATCAGATAAAGGACTGTTATCTGAAATATATAAAACCTCTTTAAACTCAACAATAAGAACATAACCTGATTTTAAAATGAGCCAAAGCCCTTAACAAACACCTCATCACAGAAGATACACAAATGGCAAATAAGCTATAAAATGATGCTCTACATCGTATATCATCAAAGAAATACAAATTAAAACAACAATAAGATACCACTACATACCTATTACAATAGCTAAAATCCAGAACACTGACAATACCAAATGCTGACAAGGATGTGGAGCAACAGGAACTCTCATCCATTGCTGGGTGGGAATGCAAAATGGTACAGCCACTTTGGAAGACAGTTTGGCGGCATCTTAGAAACCTAAACAGCCTCTTGCTGTATGAGCCAGCAATCATGCTTCTTGGATTTATCCAAAGGGGCTGAACTTATGGCCACACAAAAATCTGCACGTGAATGTTTACAGCAGCTTTGTTTACAATTGCCAAAACTTGGAAGCAACCAAGACATCCTTCAGTAGGTGAATAGATAAATAGACTGTGGTACATACAGACAGTGGAATATTATTAAGCACTAAACAGAAATGAACTATCAAGCAGTGAAAAGACAGCAAGAAAACTTAAATTCATATTACTAAGGGAAAGAAGCCAATCTGAAAAGGTTACATAGCATATGATTCCAACTATGTGACATTCTGCAAAAGGCAAAAGTATGGAGACAGTAAAAAGGTCAGTTGTTGGTCAGAAATTAGTGGTGAGGGAGAGATGAATGGGTGGAGCTCAGAGGATTTTTAGGGCAGCGAAACTCCTCTGTAAGATACTAGAATGGTGGATACATGTCATCAGACGTTTGTCCAAACCTATAGAATGTACAACACCAAGGGTGAACCCTAATTTAAACCAATTTGAACTTTGGATGATAATGGTGTGTCAGCGTAGGTTCATCAATCATAACAAACGCACCGTTACGATGCAGGATGCTGACAATGGGGGTGGAGCTGTGCATGAGTGGGGGCAGGGAGTGAATGGGAAATTTGTGCACCTTTTGCTCAATTCAGCTGTGAACCTAAAAATTCTCCAAAAACGTAAAGCGTATTAAAAATAATAATAAAAGAATCAACTACGGATGATTTGCAGGGAGTGGGAAAATGATAGCATTAGGTAATCCACCAACTAGACAATCAGCCCTCGGAGGATAAAATGACATGGGGTCTTCAGTTTTTGTTGATCAGACTCTCTACTTGCTTTTCCCACTGCCCAAACAAGTGGTTTTTCTATTTTCAACAGTGGCACCCACCACAGCCCTGGTCACCACCGGGGTTCTCTGAAATGGACCTTCAGCCCTTCCCTCCACTTCTGTCCCAGAGTCTGCCAGACACCAAATCATCTTCATCTCTCCCTCAAAATGCGCTGTTATTATTATTGTAAGGTTCTTGTTTTGCTTTGTTTTCAAACATTGTTGTGGATTGACCTGTGTCTCCACACAATTCCCATGTTGGAATCCTAACCCTCAGTACCTTGGAATGTGACTGTGTTTTGAAATGGGGTCCTTACAGAAGTAATCAAGTTAAAATGAGGTCATTGGGGTGGGCCCTAACTCAATATGACTGGCTTCCTTATGGAAAGGGGAAATTTGGACACAGACAGACAAAGAGGGAAAACTATGTGAAGAAACACAGGGAGAAGCCAGCCAGCTACAAGCCATGAAGAGAGGCCTGGAGCAGGTCCTTCCCTCACAGCCCTCAGAAGGAACCGACCCTGGGCAGGGCGCAAGGTGGGCGGATCACCTGAGGTCAGGAGTTCAAGACCAGCCTAGCCAACAGGGTGAAACCCCGTCTCTACAAAAATACAAAAATTAGCTGGGCATGATGGTGGGTGCCTGTGATCCCAGCTGCTCAGAAGGCTGAGGCGGGAGAATCGCTTGAACCCAGGAGGCAAAGGTCGCAGTGGGCTGAGATCTGAGATCACGCCATTGCACTCTGGCCTGGGTGACAGAGCAAGTCTCAAAAAAAAAAAAAAAAAAAAAAGAAGGAACCAACCCTGCCGACACCTTGAGTTCAGATTTGTTGTAGCCTCCAGAGCTATGAGATGATGGTAAGTTTAAGTCACTTCATTCGTGGCACTTTGTTATGGCAGCCCTAATACACCAACACCAACATTTTAGAACTGCAGTCTCCCCTCTTCCTTCTCCCTGCCACAACCCAAATCCAGGCCCTTGGGATTACATCCCTAGGTGACTGCAATAGCCCTCAGGCTCTCCTGGCCTCAGTCTTTCTTCCTATCTAACCCCTAGACCATCCCCTGCTAGGATGACCTTTCTAGAACTCTGCCTTTTTACCCCATCATTCCACCGTCAGACTCTTTCGGGAACTTTCCAGGGTGTGGGACATCAAGTTCACACTCTTCCATCCTGGCATTCAAGACTTCCATTTGAACAACTCTTCCCAAAGTAGTGTTTACAGGAAACATGAGATGCAGGGGACATTTAACAGGTATGCCCCAGGGGTGGGAAAAACAAGTATTTCTCTGTTCAACTAAGCTTACCTGTCGATCAGGTGTCCTCTCTATCTTTTGCCTTTAGGGATATGTGCTGAGCTTCTCTAAGAGGGGGATTTTCTTAGTGTACTTGCCTACGGAGCTTCTGTGATTGGAGCATCCACAAACACTTCCACTCACCCTTCCCAGTTGGAGATTTTCAATGCCAAACTTGACTGTAAGCTCTAGGTATTCACCATTGTATCTGGAGACCCTAAGGGAGTGCTGGTAATACATTCTTGGCACTGAAATACTTGAAAGATGGAGGGATGAATGGATGTTTCACCATCTACCATCTGGCAATCTATTTCACATTTATCAAATACTGTCATAGCATTGCCTATTTCACGCAGGTCTCTGCCTCCCTGCTGTATGAACAGAGCAAACTCTTTAGCCCCCTAATAACTCTGCTCCATTTCCTCCCTCCTGTCCCAACCAACTGTCCCAACCAAATGCCGTGATTCAAGGCACAACACCAGTTTCACATCAACTAACTCAACTTCTTGACTTTGCATCTAAAAAGTATATTTCTATCTTTCCCCATCCAACCTTCTTTGAGTCCTGCCTCTAAAAAAGAGTTAAGGTTCTTACTTTTTTTTTTTTTTTTTTTTGACAAGATCTTGCTCTGTCACCCATGCTGGAGTGCAGTAGCACAATCACGGCTCACTGCAGCCTCAACCTCCCAGGCTCAAGTGATTCTCCTGCCTCAGCCTCCCAAGCAGCTGGGACTACAAGTGTGCACCACCACACCTAGCTAATTAAAAAGAAAGTTTTGGCTGGGTGCAGTGGCTCACGCCTGTAATCTCAGCACTTTGGGAGGCCGAGGAGGGCAGATCACCTGAGGCCAGGAGTTAGAGACCAGTCTGGCCGATATGGTGAGACCTATGGTGGTCTCTACTAAAAATGCAAAAATTAGCCGGGTGCAGTGGTGCACGCCTGTAGTTCGAGCTACTCGGGGGCTGAGGCAGGTAAATCGCTTGAACCCAGGAGGTGGAAGTTGCAGTGAGCTGAGATCACACCACTGCACTCCAGCCTGGGCGACAGAGTGAGACTCCATCTAAAAAAAAAAAGGAAAGAAAGACATTTTTTTTTTTAATAGAGATGGGGTCTCACTTTATTGCCCAGGCTGGTCTTGAACTCCTGGTCTCAAGCAATTCTCCTGCCTCGGCCTCCCAAAGTGCTGGGATTACAGGCCTGAGTCACCATGCCTGGCTGAGGTTTTTACTTTTAAAATGCAAATTCATCTCTCTATGCCTTTGACGACTCTTATTTATCAAAATTATGTGTGCATATATCTTGACTTCCTTGCCAGCTTACAGATTCCTTGAGGAAAATCTAGTGCTGTGTGTTTTCTACCAAACATATGTTATCAATAAATATTTGCTAAGAAAATGAATCCCCTCTACCTTCTATAGGAAAACATCCCACGTATTATCCCCCTTCTCTCTATTATTTTTAATCCTCCACTCCTGCTGATCCTTTTTCTTTCTAAAATCCTGAAGTTTCTCATCCTGAAAAGTAGAAAGGAAGCCTTTTCTGTACTTTCCAATATCTTCAAATAACATTTTAATATTTTTCTTTGCTACCTTAATGAATTTCTGGATAGAACTGCATAAACATTCTCATACTCACTTCTTAACTCTTGCAAGTAAATCCAATGACATCTTGGTAGGTCTCCCTCTTGACCACGCTGTGCCTCCTGAGGGTGGTGACCATTCCTTCCTCGACATGTGAAGCGATGCCCTCCCCTGGCTTTTCCCTTTCTTTATTCAATACACAGTTATTGGGACCTACTATGTAGTAGGCATTGAAGATACAATTATGAGCAAAAAGACACAGGAGTCCCTGCCCTCAAGGGGCATAGCCTAATCAATGGGTGAAGACAATGAAATAGTCAGCAAACATGTGACTATGAACTAGGATCAGTGCTATGAAGGAAAGAATCGTTGCCTTGAGCACAGATGGTTTTCTTCTCTGGCTATTCCTCTAGTTACCTCTGAGCTCCTTTCTTCCTCTGACCTCCAAGAGTAAGTGTTCCTCAAGGTTTCATCTTGGTTAACCTCTCCGCTTTCCTATAAGGACGATTTTCCTTGACAGTCTCATCCATGCCTAGGGCTTCAACTATAACCTCCCAATGCATGAATCCTAAGCACAGTACCTAGTGCTGTGTCATCTACACAAGCAGTCTCACTGGCACAACAAATCTCACATACCCCAAACTCCACACACCTTTATCTCCTCTTTCTGAACCAACCAACAAAGAAAACTCAATCCTAACAACACACACACATCTGATGGTCTTCTTCCTGAATTCTCTATTGATCTTGTCAATAGCATCCATCTCCCAGGCACAGGCTTTTAAGCCTGTCTCATCTTCTTTCAAGTCCCCTTAGGATCCCAGATAAGGTCATGAGAAAATCACTGAAAATCCCCAATACCTTCCACCACCCACCCCTCTCCGGCATTCAAGGCTCTGGGGCCCTGGTCTCAACTTACCTTCCAGCCTCATCACCTAAGCTCTCTCAGGCCAAGTTCACTCTGTCACAGAATCTCCCCTCAGATCCTCTGTCTATACCAGGGGTGTCCAATATTTGGGCTTCCCTGGGCCACATTGGAAGAAGAAGAATTGTCTTGGGCCACACGTAAAATATACTAATGCTGATGATAGCTGAAGAGCTTTAAAAAAATCACAAAAAGGCCAGGCACAGTGGCTCACGCCTATAATCCTAACACTTTGGGAGGCTGAGGCGGGTGGATCGCTTGAGGTCAGGAGTTCAAGATCAGCCTGGCCAACATGGCAAAACCCCGTCTCTACTAAAAATCCAAAAAGTTTAGCTGGGTGTGGTGGCGTGCACCTATAATCCCAGCTACCAGGGAGGCCGAGCCAGGAAAATTGCTTGAACCCAGGTGGCAGAGGTTGCAGTGAGCTGAGATCACACCACCGCACTCCAGCCTGGGAGACAGAGCAAGATTCCATCTCAAAAAAAAAAAGCAAAAAAATTCATAATGTTTTAAGAACATTTACAGATTTGTGTTGGGCTGTGTTCTAAGCTGTCCTGGGCCACATAAGGCCTGCAGGCCATGGGTTGGACAAGCTTGGGCTATATCATTCCATCTACTGGGAGGGTTCTGGCTCCGGCCCTCAGACTCGCATCCTAGAATCTATTTCTGTGTCAGATGGGCATACCGTGCTGCCATTGACCATGACATCATCATGACCATGGAGCAACAGGATGGCAAAATCATGGAGCAAACTGGATAAAATGTTTCTGAATTATTAAACAACAAAAGCAGGATATAGAACAATATCAAATTATTTGCAGGGTTTTTTTTTTTGTTTTTTTTGTTTGTTTGTTTTTGATTTTTGAGATGGAGTCTCACTCTGTCGCCTAGGCTGGAGTGCAGTGGTGCGATATCGGCTTACCACAACCTCTGCCTCCTGGGTTCAAGCAATTATCCTGCCTCAGCCTCCAGAGTAGCTGGGATAACAGGCACCCACCACCACGCCTGGCTAATTTTTATATTTATTTTATTTTATTTTTTAACCACTCTGGATCTTGATGTGTAAAGTGAGCATAATAATGGTACGTCCTGCATAAGGTCATTTTGAAAACTATATGAGTTAGGCTGGATGCGGTGACTCACGCCTGTAATCCCAACACTTTGGGAGACTGAGGTGGGTGGATCACCTGAGGTCAGGAGTTCGAGACCAGCCTGGCCAACATGGTGAAACCCCGTCTCTACTAAAAGTACAAAAATTATCTGGGTGTGGTGGTGGGTGCCTGTGATCCCAGCTGCTCTGGGGCTGAGGCGGGAGAATCGCTTGTATTTTTAGTAGAGACAGGGTTTCTGTTTCCCCATGTTGGCCAGGCTGATCTCAAACTCCTAACCTCAGGTGGTCCACCTGCCTCGGCCCCCCCCAAAGTGCTGGGATTACAGGCATGAGCCACCGCGCCCAGGGTTATTTGCTGTTTTTATAATTATGCATACAAAAATGTACAAAGGAATACAACGAAGTGACAAAAATAATTGTATTCGAGTGGTGGAATGGGCGATGCGCCTTTCATTGATCTAGAATCTAAATTTTATTTAGTATGCTTTTTAAAGTAACGCTTTTATTTTAGAATCATTTTAGATTTACAGAAAATTTGAGAAGACAGTGTAAAGAATTCCTATATATATATCCTATCCCCAGTTTCTGTTATTATGAACATCTTACATTAGTGGGATACATTTGTCGCAAGTAAATGAGCCAATAACTTAATGGTATTGTAGTTTCTTTCTTTCTTTCTTTCTTTTTTTTTTTTTGAGAGTCTTGCTCTGTCATCCATGCTGGAGTGCAGCAGCACAGTCACAGCTCACTGCAGCCACAGCCTCCCAGGCTCAAGCTGAGCATGATCTCGGCTCACTGGAACCTTCCTCTCCTGAGTTCAAGCAATTCTCCTGCCTTAGCCTCCCAGATAGCTGGGATTACAGGCACCCACCACCATGCCCAGCTAATTTTTGTATTTTTAGTAGGGACGGGGTTTCACTGTGTTGGCCAGGCTGGTCTAGAATTCCTGATCTCAGGTGATCTGCCCACTTCGGCCTCCCAAAGTGCTGGGATTACAGGCATGAGCCACCGAGTTGGTCTGCAGTTTCTTAATGTAGTTTCTAAAACTAAAAAAACTTGTTTTGTAATCCAAATAAACAACATAGAAGACAATGTCATTATTTTCATAACTTCTAACTCCAACTTAGTATCCTAATATTTATTATTTTTCTTATTTTTATTGTATTACCTTAGACTCCTCTTGGCATGGATTCTTGGCTACAAACTGGAACCCAATTTTTTTTTTTTTCTTTTGGTGGCAGGGTCTGGCTCTATCTCCCAGGCTGAAGTGCAGTGGCACGATTTCCATTCCCTGCAACCTCTGCTTCCCAGGTTTAAGCGATCCTCTCACCTCAGCCTCCTGAGCAGCTGGGACCATGGGACCACAGGTGTGGTTAATTTTTGTATTTTTTGTAGAGTTCAGGTTTTGCTGACCTTGGCCTCCCAAAGTGCTGGGATTACAGGTGTGAGCCTCCGTACCCAGCTGGAACAAATTTTTGCTTTATCTTCATTTGCCATATGCTTATGCATGTCGTTAAAGTAATTAAAACTTTATTGATTGATAAAGGTCCTAGGAAATGTTTTCCTTAAAGTATCATGGAAATTGTTTACACATCTGAGCCTTACACACATCCGAGAATCAAACTGTGTGCACTGCCTCTCCAACAAGTCTATAAGGTCTGCCTGGGGTCTTTTTTTTTTTTTTTTTTTTTTTTTGAGACGGAGTCTCGCTCTGTCGCCCAGGTCGGACTGCGGACTGCAGTGGCGCAATCTCGGCTCACTGCAAGCTCCGCTTCCCGGGTTCACGCCATTCTCCTGCCTCAGCCTCCCGAGTAGCTGGGACTACAGGCGCCCGCCACCGCGCCCGGCTAATTTTTTGTATTTTTAGTAGAGACGGGGTTTCACCTTGTTAGCCAGGATGGTCTCGATCTCCTGACCTCATGATCCACCCGCCTCGGCCTCCCAAAGTGCTGGGATTACAGGCGTGAGCCACCGCGCCCGGCCCTGCCTGGGGTCTTAACTTCCACCTCCTCCTCCTGTATTTTTTATGTCCAAGAATACCCAGTTCAGATTGGTCTTAGAGTATATCCTCAATAAATACCAGTTGTAATAAGTTGTAGAAGTTGAATAGTTCTAGTAGATGGGGTATTGATTTTAAATAACTAAAAGTAAAGGGTTCTTTCTGAAATTGCACTTGAAATGTCAGACCTTAATGTTTTGTTTTGTTTAAGAGACAGGTCTTGCTATGTTGCCAGACTAGCCTCAAACTCCAGTTCTCAAGCGATCCTCCCACCTCAGCCTCCTGAGTAGCTGGGACCACAAGCATGCCTGGCTTAGACTTTAATTTTTGACACTAGGACACTATGATGTTTTTCCTCGGCATCACTCGAAAAAGGAAGCTCAAATAAATCCTTAGTAGAAGCAGATTTTAGTCTTAAATTATAAAAATCACTAAAAAGGCAGATAATAATTATTCTAAAGAACATACTTCCAGCTTGCTTTTATTTTATTTATTTATTTATTTATTTTAAGACAGGGTCTCACTCTGTCACCTAGGCTGGAGTGCAGTGGCACAATCTCAGCTCACTGCAACCTCCACCTGCTGGTTCAAGCAATTCTCCTGCCTCAGCCTCCCAAGTAGTTGGGATTACAGGCGCCTGCCACTGCACCCTGCTAATTATTGTAGTTTTAGTAGAGACGGGGTTTCACCATCTTGGCCAGGCTGGTCTTAAACTCCTGACCTCGTGATCCACCTGCCTCAGCCCCACAAAGTGTTGGGATTATAGGCGTGAGCCACCGAGCTCGGCCTCCAGCTTGCTTTTAATGTCTGAACTATAGAATGGAGTGTGTGTTGTTTTCTTCTTTTAAACGTTTCTCCCTGGTGAATTTTCTTTGTTCTAACTGCCAAGTTCATTTCAAAGAATCCTTCTGAGTATCTAGCAGTTAAAACAAATCCTATAGATTATACAAAGAAATAGTCAACGGAAGCAGCCAGCTGCCTATAGTACTACTTTTTATAGGAGAAGAAGACATTTTGTTTTAAAATAGAACTTTAAAAATCTCAAAGAGGTATTTCCCCTATTTTTTTAGTTGATAAATATATTTTCACCTTTTAGGATAGTATTTACTTGATATAGCCAAAATTATAACACTGAAATTAGGAAAAATGCTGAACAGTGTGCTAACATATATTCTGTACCTCATCTTAAGTGGTTTTGGAAAATCCCTAAAAGTAAACTACATGAAAAACTTAGCATTCTTTTATCTTCAAGGAAGTCTACATGTTACCAAAAAAATGTGAGGAGCAAAATTTTGTTTAAAAATTAGGATTATGAGAAGAACAAATTTATACTTTCAGTTTACTAAACTAGTTTAAATTCAGTAAGCACAGAAGCCCATTATTAGATTATAATTTCAAGGAAAATGTTGAGTATCAGGAGTAAAGAGTGAAGTCTGATATTCACAATTAATGGTTGAAAATTCCCCAAAACAAAGTTAAAACTAGCACCACTGACCATTTTCAAGACAGTTATGTGTTTTAATTTAAACTGCTTATTTTATCAACTATTGTGTAACTTCTCTTTCTTACAGAGGTGATTTGACTACCCAGCAATGTTACTATTAAAGACTTTATTACAGAGTGATGTTTTAAAGCAAGACTAGGCAAAACTTGTTACAAATTAACTTGATGTTATATATAGAAGGAGCAGAATTGAATCAGCCTATTTGAGGCAAAACATGCCTTTGAGATACTGAATGCTGTAAATATAGTTAAGCAACTCTGCTAATGAGCTTTGGGAGAGAGAACAGAGGTGGCTTGGACAGTACAAGAAGTAACTGACCAAGGAAGTCCCCAGAAAGATGTATATCAAAAGGTGGAACAGTGGAATGACAGGCAATTCTTAACTTTCTGTGTGTACTTTTTTGCACAACTTGAACTTTAAAATAATGAACATTCTGGCCAGGTGCAGTGGCTCAAGCCTGTAATACCAGCACTTTGGGAGGCCTAGGTGGACAGATCACTTGAGGCCAAGAGTTCGAGACTAGCCTGGCCAACATGGCAAAACCCCGTCTCTACTAAAAATTCAAAAAAAAAAAATTAGCGGGTCATGGTGGCGGGCGCCTGTAGTCCCAGCTACTCGGGAGACTGAGGCAGGAGAATGGCGTGAACCTGGGAGGTGGAGCTTGCAGTGAGCCGAGATCGCACCACTGCACTCCAGCCTGGGTGACAGAGCGAGACTCTGTCTAAAAAAATAAATAAATAAATAAAGTAGCCGGGCATGGTGGCGCGCACCTGTGATCTCAGCTACTCAGGAGGCTGAGGCATGAGAATCTCTTGAACCCAGGAGGCAGAGGTTACAGTGAGCCGAGATCGCACCACTGCACTCCAGAGTGAGACTGCCTCAAAAAAAAAAAAAAAAAAATCTCTCCCTCTCCCGCTCCCGCTCCCTCTCCCTCTGCACAGTCTCCCTCTGATGCCGAGCCGAGGCTGGACTGTACTGCCGCCTCTCCCCTTTGCACGGTCTCCCTCTGATGCCCAGCCGAGGCTGGACTGTACCGATGCCATCTCGACTCACTGCAACCTCCCTGCCTGATTCTCCTGCCTCAGCCTGCCGAGTGCCTGGGATTGCAGGCGCGCGTCGCAACGCCTGACTGGTTTTCGTATTTTTTTGGTGGAGACGGGGTTTCGCCCTGTTGGCCGGGCGTGTCTCCAGCTCCTGACCGCGAGTGATCTGCCAGCCTCGGCCTCCCGAGGCGCCGGGATTGCAGACAGAGTCTCGCTCACTCAGTGCTCAATGTTGCCCAGGCTGGAGTGCAGTGGCGTGATCTCCGCTCGCTACAACCTCCACCTCCCAGCCGCCTGCCTTGGCCTCCCAAAGTGCCGAGATTGCAGCCTCTGCCCGGCCGCCACCCCGTCTGGGAAGTGAGGAGCGTCTCTGCCCGGCAGCCCAGTCTGGGAAGTGAGGAGCGCCTCTTCCCGGCCGCCATCCCGTCTAGGAAGTGAGGAGCGTCTCCGCCCGGCCGCCCATGTCTGGGATGTGGGGAGCGCCTCTGCCCGGCAGCCCAGTCTGGGAAGTGAGGAGTGTCTCTGACTGGCCGCCCCATCTGAGAAGTGAGGAGCCCCTCTGCCCGGCCGCCACCCCGTCTGGGCGGTGTACCCAACAGCTCATTGAGAACAGGCCATGATGACGATGGCGGTTTTGTCGAATAGAAAGGGGTGAAGTGTGGGGAAAAGAAAGAGAGATCGGATTGTTACTGCGTCTGTGTGGAAAGAAGTAGACATAGGAGACTCCATTTTGTTCTGTACTAAGAAAAATTCTTCTGCCTTGGGATGCTGTTAATCTATAACTTTGCCCCCAACCCTGTGCTCTCTGAAACATGTGCTGTGTCCACTCAGGGTTAATTGGATTAAGGGCGGTGCAAGATGTGCTTTGTTAAACAGATGCTTGAAGGCAGCATGCTCCTTAAGAGTCATCACCACTCCCTAATCTCAAGTACCCAGGGACACAAACACTGCAGAAGGCGGCAGGGCCCTCTGCCTAGGAAAACCAGAGACCTTTGTTCACTTGTTTATCTGCTGACCTTCCCTCCACTATTGTCCTATGACCCTGCCAAATCCCCCTCTCTGTGAAACACCCAAGAATGATCAATAAATACTAAAAAAATAAAATAAAATAAAATAAATAAATTAAAAAAATTACAATTAAAAAATATGAATTCTTTTATAATCATAAAACAATAAACATATTTCCTTTTTGGAAAAAGATAATAGAAATAATATGTTAAAGTTTGACTTCTGATATCTAAAAAAATTAAAGTTTAATAAAGCATTACAAGTATTATATTAGAGTATCTAGTTTTGTTGTGCCTTAAAGAATTTGCTCATCCACAGAGTGCCAACTGCATTAGAAAGAAAACAACTCTCCTTTCTAACTCACCAGCATTGATTTTCTGTTGTTGGCATGTAGAAGAGTATTTCAAAGAATGAATGAAAGCTATAATATTTATTAGAAGTAAAAAAGTTCTAAAGATATGCTACCTTACTGGGATGCTTAGAGACCATTTGCAAACCCTGTTTATGATCTAGAAATCCTGTTTTTCATTTTTTATTTGTAAAACTCTATAAATCTCAAAAAATTTTAGGTGGATTATCATGTACCTAAGGGTAAAATATAGTTGAAATTATTCTTACCTGATTTTTCATATCTGAATTTCGTGGGCAGTTCAAAGTAATTGTATCACATTCTTCAGCTAGGAAAAAAAAAAAGAAAGAAAGAAAGAAACAAAGTGTGATTTTAAAAAGCACACACTCCGTGGTGTAAGACCTAAAATTAAGGTTCAGTGTCACATGCTGCCTTGGCATCTGGTAAAATCAGAAGGGCTGGACTACAAATTCCTCTCCAAACTCTGCTCTTAAGGATAAGATCCCCCAGCTAAACAATGCTGCTTATCAAGAGATTAGGCACAATTCCTGCTTATTTTTTATTTATTTTTTTAAAATAAGAGACAGGGGCAGGCGGATCACCTGAGGTTGGGAGCTTGGGACCAGCCTGACCAACATGGAGAAACCCCCGTCTCTACTAAAAATACAAAATTAGCCAAGAGTGGTAGCGCATGCCTGTAATCCTAGCTACTCTGGAGGCTGAGGCAGGAGAATCACTTGAACTCAGGAGACAAAGTTTGCAGTGAGCTGAGACCACGCCATTGCACTCCAGCCTGGAGAACAAGAGCAAAACTCCGTCTCAAAAAAATAAAAATAAGAGACAGAGGGTCTCACTCTGTCATCCAGGCTGGAGTGCATCTCACAGTAACTTGGAACTCCTAGGCTCATGTGATCCTCCCACCTCAGCCTCCCAAGTATCTGGGAAGATAGGCATGTGCCACCACACCAAGCTAAGTAAGATATAGGGCCTCACTGTGTTGTCCATGCTGGTTTTGAACTCCTGGCCTCAAGTGATTCTCCTGCCTTGGCCTCCCAAAGTGTTGGGATTACTAGTGTGAGCCACTGTGACTGCCCCCTGCTTATTTTTTGGGTAGTGGGTTTCAGTTTCCTACCAACATGTGGAATTATTCAAACAGGCTGATCACGAACTCACATGGGAACCAGAAGGCAGCCTACCCTTTTGATGCCACAATGTTTGTCTCACACAGCCCATGGTTTTTTGCTCTGCTCTCAAGTACAACATCTGTGTCCCCCTGCGTGGCTCTGTGTGATGGGCAGTGTCCTCCTCCCCTGGGCTGTGCATATATGTGACTCATAAACTGCTGCTGATCTTGTCTCTCCAGTGTTGGATGTGTGTGTTTGTCCATCCCCATAATCCTAGAGCAGGGGTGAGGAGAAGGTGATCAAAACAACTGGCATGATAGCCAGGAGTGGTGGCTCACGCCTGTAATGACAGCTATTCAGGAGGCTGAGGCAGGAGGAGCACTTGAGGCAGGAGTTTAAGAGCAGCCTGGGCAACCCAGTGAGACCCAGTCTCAAAAAACTTAAAAATTAGCCAGGCATGCTGGTGTGTGCCTGTAGTCCCAGCTACTTGGGAGGCTGAGAGAGGAGGATCACTTGAGCCCAGGAGTTCAAGGCTGCAGTGAGCTCTGATCGATCATGCCACTGCACTCCAGCCTGGGGGACAGAGTGAGACCCTGTCTCCAAAAATAAAAAAATAAAAAAAAAAGATAAGAAAAATAAAAGAAAAGAAACAACTGGCATAATGAACAGGATGACCCAACCACAATCAAGGACATTTGGTCAGATTTCATTAACTGCTCTCGGCTAACCAACTTCACTAATACCACGCAGGCTGCCTGGGATAGAATTGACAATTACTGGAAGATTTGCACTCTGGCCTATGCAATGCTGTGTTGTCTTTGTTGATTGTTTGGTATCTCATCCCAAGATGAAAACTGTTGTGAACTGACTGGACCCCAGAGCTGTCAGTTTGGGCCTGTGTTTGGCAGGTGGTCTCTTGAGGCTCCCATCTGTAAAGACGGTGGTAGCACATCCCCCTAACCGGTTGCTGCTTAAGTCCCACTTATCAAGGGACAGGTGCAAGCTCTCTTAGCAATACAACTAGCTTGGTGACCATCACTGGCCACTTGGGGCAGCTGTACAGGCACTGTTTGTGAAGTGCATCCCCAGGTCAGCCACGGGGGCGGTCCTTTGCAGACAGAGGTTTGCAGAAAGGAAGGAGAGAGACCAGGGAGTTCCCCAGGGGAGTTTCCCTGGTGCCCTGGTTGCTGCTAAGGCAAAGGCAGTGACCCTGCCCATCCCCTCAGCTGCTGCTTCCCTTGCTGCTGCCCATGTGTTCTCCTGACCCCCAGGGGCATCGAGGTACACAGCCATGGCAGTCTGTGGCCCAGGTGCTAATGAAGAAAGAAAACGGGAAAAAGCATTTGGTACTCAACTGCTCTCTCGGCACAGAGCCCCTGGCGAGCGCACCCAGCTGTGCTTAGCGCTGCTGCTTCCAACACGCCAAAGAGCTCATCTTGCCATAGTGGGTTTAATGTCCCCACTTGGGCCACAGACAAAACCACCTGGCTGGATGAGGACCCCATCCCCAGGGAGACCGACTGGTATTCCCTGGAGGAAGAGGTGGCTGCCTGCGACGGGGGCCACCTGGCTCCCAACACTTTGCTCGTAACCTCCCAGAAGGTCCCTTGGGACATATGGAGACAAAAACTGAAAGCCACAACTTTATGTGGCTAGAAATCCAAAATATTCTGAGGGCATTTGTACAAGACAGGAAAAAATCCATAAACAAATTAGTTAATTAATTAAGGAAAACCCTCATGGCAGAAAAGACAAAGTTGTAGCAGAGTCCCTCCACCTCTGGGTTATAGGCCAGCACTCTTCCATTGGGCTGGACCACGCTGCAGCTTATGCCCCTGTTGCAGCAAAGATCCTGATCCTCAGAGTTGTAGGGAAAACTCCTAGTAGCCCCGGGGCACAGTAAAAGGGTTAATTCACCCTGACACAAGCCCACAGTTTTTAAACTATATGAGAGCAACCACTGCCACAGGGAAGGCCCCACCCCTGATGATACTGATTTGAGGTTCTCTGGGGGAAGAAATTTATCAATATGAGCAGAGTAGAGAAGACTGCCCCTGCCAAAAGTATATCCAGTGACCATAAAAAGGGAATGAAAGAAAGATAAAAAGAAACCTGGACACAAAGGAGAAGACAGGTTGGGTGTGGTGGCTCACACCTGTAATCCCAGCACTTTGGGAGGCCAAGATGGGAGGGTTGCTTGAGGGCCCAGAGTTCAAAATCAGCCCAGGCAACACAGTAAGACCCTATCTCTACAAAAAGTTTAAAAATTAGCTGGGCATGGTGTCACATGCCTATCGTCCCAGCTATTTGGGAGGCTGAGGTGGGAGGATCACTTGGCTCCCAGAGGTCAAGGCTGCAGTGACCCATGATCACACCACCGCACCCCAGCCCTGAGTGACAGAGCAACGTCCTGTTCCAAAAAAAAAAAAAAAAAAAAAAAAGATGCTTCACAGTGGATTACTACAATTTTATTTTATTTATTTATTTTTTGAGACGGAGTCTTGTTCTGTCACCCAGGCTGGAGTGCAGTGGTGCGATCTCAGCTCACTGCAACCTCCATTTCCCAGGTTTGAGTGATTCTCCTACCCTAGACTCCCAAGAAGCTAGGATTACAGGTGCCGACCACCACGCCCGGCTAATTTTTGTATTTTTAGTAGAGACAGGGTTTCACCATGTTGTCCCAGCTGGTTTTGAGCTCCTGACCTCAAGTGATCTGCCCACCTCGGCCTCGCAAAGTGCTGGGATTACAGGTGTGAGCCACCGCATCTAGCCAGATTACTACACTTTTACTGCTGTGGTCTCATCCCTTAAGGCTTCCATACCCCATGCCTAAAATGATTGGAAAACACTGACTCCATCCAATTAGTGACTAGAAAATATTTTGCTATTACAGATTTGCCTAATATGTTCTGTTCAGTGACTATCTCAATAGTCTCTCAATCAAAGTTTGCCTTCATCTGCAAACGGACATGATATATCTTTACAAGGCACCCATGGGGCATTTCAAGAGCCTGGTCATCACACACAGGCTTTGCAGGCAAGATCTAACTGCATCCTACTTTCTCAGTCTCATGAGTGTGATGACATTACATGGATGAGATCCTCCTCTGAGGACATTCTCACTTGACATTTTCATGCAGGCCACGGAATACAGTACTCACAACAATGCTCACGGAAAGAGATGGGCCACTGCCCCACACATAGCGCAAGGCCCTGCCACCTTGGTGAAATTCCTAAAAATTACTTGGTAAACTAAGGGCTGCTCCCACCCAGACACTGTCAATAAATAGCTATTGACCCTCTCTGCACCCACAATGTGAATACAAGTCTAGTATATTTTTAGCTCTTTTTTGGGTTCTGGTGGCAACATATTTCTCATTTACAAATTTAATCTCATTGATGCCAGTACTTGCAAGTCAGCTCAATGTAAATTTGGGCCCCTCCAATAAAAGTCTACAACAGGCAGTCCCACTAGGACCCCCAGAGATTTCTGGAGCTTCAGCAACCTCCTCTCATTCCTCCTGAAGTCTCTGGACCACCCACGATAGCTGAAAGTTGTCCACAGGCTTTTGATGCAAGAAACTGCCCTCCCAGGCCCTGTTCTACACATTATTAGAGCAGCAACTGCTAGCTGCATACTGGGCTCTCTTGGAAATAGAGGCTGTCATTAAACACTAGCTGTGACCCTCCATACTGCGCTGTCCATTATGCCTTGGGTCATGGAAGCAAAATCCTGGAAGCTCCGCATGGTTACCAAGGCCTCCTTGATACAGGATGGAGCTAAACCCGGGCACTCTGGCATGTTCCATCTGCAGGAAGGGGTGGCTTCCCCCATCCCTCACCAGAGCCCATAGTGCTGGAAAAAGTCACCCCTCTTGCAGACTCCTAGGTTATCTGGGGAGCCCCTTCAAAGCAACTGAGTGAAGAGCAATGGGAATTTGTAGACTTTACAGATGACATCACCCCCATCATACACGATGAAGCTCAGCAGACAGTTGCTGCTTTCCATCCCTTAACCAGGATATCCCTGATAAAGGAAGGACCCAAGATTAGCAAAACTGGCCAAACTTCAGGCAGTCATCTTATTGCTGGATGTCCTGGCCAACAAATCGCCCCATCTGCACAGTTTTTATAAATTTTTGGACCATTGCCTAAGAGTTGCACCCTTTGTGGTAAAGAACTCTCAGAATCTCTTGCCTCAAATACACCCAAACTATAAATAAAGAAACAGATGTCTCTATGTACAGCAAGGCCACCATACAAGGCTTCAGCAGAACATTTCCAGTCTCCTTTGGAGTCCCACTTATTACTGACAGTGAGCAAGACACTCATTTCTCTTCTAAGAACATACAACGCCAGGCTCTTAAGCCATTCAATGAAACTTCCACCTCCCCTCTCATATCAGGCAGCAGGTTCGATTGAGAGGCATAATGAAATCTTCAAGAAACTCCTATGTAAGTTACTGGGTGTCACTATTGTCACAGGCCTTAATGAATCTAAATCCACAACCTCTGGAGACATGTACTCCCTACACCAATGCCACACGGGTTCCTCAACTGCCTTTACTGGCCATCAGGGGGACACCTCTAAAGTTCCTGTTTTTGATGACCATCTCACCATGTGGCCCTCTCCCTCCTGGTCAAGTGCCTTCCTTGCTTCTTAGTGGGGCACTTCTATTCCCTAGAAGTCTCAGCCATCATTAAGGTTTAAATTTATGCCATGGCATCTAGGGGTGAACTGTTGTATAAGACCTAACATTGAGACTCAATTTATGTGCTGCCTTGACATTGGTAGAACTGGGAAGGGCTCACACCTGTAATCCCAGCACTTTGGGAGGCCAATGCGGGTAGATCACCTGAGGTCAGGAGTTAGAGACCAGTTAGAGGTTAGGTTAACATGGTGAAACCCCATCTTTACTAAAAATACAAAACTTAGCCAGGCGTGGTGGCGGGCATCTGTAATCCCAGCTACACAGGAGGCTGCGGCAGGAGAATGGCTTGAACTTGGGAGGCAGAGGTTGCAGTGAGCCGAGATTGAGCCACTGCACCCCAGCCTGGGCGACAGAGTGAGACTCTGTCTCAAAAAAAAAAAAAAAAAAAAAAAAAAGAACTGGGAAGGTCTTGAATGGCCTAACCACAAGTCTCCTTCCCACTCTGCTCCCATGGCCAAAGTCCCCTAGCCAAACAACGCCCCTTACCAAGGGGACCACGCACAGTCCTTGTTCTCTTTTTGTAATGGGCTTCATTTCCCCTGATTCCATGGACTTAACTCAAACAAGCCAATCACATCCTGACAACCAGGAGGCACCCCACTTGCTTAATACCATAAAGCCTGTCTGACAGCCCCTTGTTGTTTGCTCTGCTCCTAAGTGCAACCTCCATGTGGCCCTGCATGACGCACAGTGTCCTCCCCTCCTGGACTGAGTATACATGACTCATAAATTCCTGTCGATCTCATCTGTTAAGTGTTGAGTGTCATGTGTTTGGCCATCCCTGTAACCCTAAGATGGAATCCCTCCCTCACCAACAGGGTGAAGAGGAGACAATCAAAACACATTCTCCTGGCAGGGCACAGTGGCTCACACCTGTAATCCCAGCACTTTGGGAGGCCGAGACAGGTGGATCACCTGAGGTCAGGACTTCGAGACCAGCCTGGCCAACATGGTGAAACCACATCTCTACTAGAAATACAAAAATTAACTTGGTGTGGTGGCGGGTGCCTGTAATCTCAGCTACTCAGGAGGCTGAGGCAGGAGAATTGCTTGAACTCAGGAGTGCAGTGAGCCGAGACCGTGCCACTGCACTCCAGCCTAGGTGACAGAGCGAGACTCCATCTCAAAAAAAAAATTCTCCCCTGATTAACAACGTGATATCAAATTCCAGTGTGTTCATTCGTCTGTCATTTTACTAAGCCTTTCAGACAGTAGAGAGTGGGATTATACTTGTCCCAACAGCTCACCCTCCTAAAGGTCAAACCTAAACCATTTTGGTTCTCTTGTTCAAGTTCAGGTTGCCAGTGAAAAGCAAAGGAACTTGAAATTCATGTTAAACATTTAACATCTTTCCATATGAATTGCTAGGAAGCAACTTCCATTCCAAAGTTGTGTTAACTTCACAGTTTTCCCACCTGTGGTGAAGATGGTACAAAATAGCTTAAAAACTGATTTTGTTCCATCAGATTCTAATCTTTAGTCACAGAATTCAAGGCCATACTCTAAACTTTAAGGTTGGCAGAAATATATTATAACAGAAATTTTAGCACCATGTAAATGTTTAAAGTTATTTAGCCTTAAATACAGAACCATTTAACTCAGGGTTGAAAAGTCAGGATGAAGTGAGGGATTGATTGATTAAGCCATTTGATTTTTACCTTCATTAGCAGTCTTTTTATTTTATGTATTTATTTATTTTGAAACAAAGTCTCACTTTGTTGTCCAGGGTGGAGTGCAGTGGCATGATCTCAGCTCTCTGCAATCTCTGCCTCCCAGGTTCAAGCGATTCTCGTGCCTCAGCCACTCCAGTATCTGGGATTACAGGTGCGTGCCACCACCACACCTGACTAATTCTATTTTTGTATTTTTAGTAGAGACGGGGTATCGCCATGTTGACCAGGCTGGTCTGGAACTCCTGGCCTCGAGTAATCCACCCGCCTTGGCCTCCCAAAATGCTGGGATTACAGGCGCGAGTCACCGTCCATGCATTAGCATTCATTCACCTATTATGCGCTGAGCTGCTAGATTGGTTCAAATAAGGGACCATGTATATTCATTGTCTCACACACAATTCTGACTGGAATAAAAGACTTTCTTTTCATAATAGTATTATCTGGGAAACTGAAGCTAAAAGTGTGGTCTTTGCCTGAGGCTGTGTATGTTATCTTTTTACAGCTAGAGCGGTCACCATCTGACCCAGGCTTGCCTCGCTCTCAGCTCTCCTGCCTGTCAGTCAGAGTGCTGAGCTCTCCCCCAGACCGCCTTAGTTGGAATCTCCAGGGGCCCAGAAGTCTGCGTTGTTGACAAGCATCCCCACATTCTGATGCACACTGAAGTGTCATTCGTCACAGCCCAACGTAATAGGTGTGTGACTTCAATCACAGTCATCCCCACAATGTCAAAATTATTAACCCAGATTTCTTTAAAGTGCTTTTTTCCCACTACGAGAAGTTGAGTTTTTTGTTTTGTTTTAGTTTTGTTTTTGTTGAGATGGGGGCTCACTGTTGCCCAAGCTGTAGTGCAGTGGTGCAATTATAGCTATAGCTCACTGCAGCCTCGAACTCCCAGGCTCAAACGATCCTCCAGCCTAAGCCTCCCACGTAGCTGGGACTACAGGTGTGCACCACTACACTCAGCTAATTAACTTTTTTTTTCTTTTTGGAGCGATAGGAGTCTCACTATGTTGCTCAGGCTGGTCTGAAACTCCTAGTCTCAAGTGGTCCTCCTGCCTCGGCCTCTTGAAACACTGGCAAAGAACTTGAATTTAACAGCGACTTTTCTCAGGTGGCTTTCCAAATGCTCCCATGGTCATAGTCCTCTCCGTCCCCTCTATCCTCTTATGCACAAAAGATTAAAAAATGTTTTGGAGAGTTGTTACCATTGTATTCTTGCCATGACTGGGAGGGGAGGGCAGGTTGGTTTTTAGTTTACTGTAACAGAAGATTCCCAAGAGGGTCTCTGTCAAGGCTTGGGGAGCGGGGGCGGGGAGTGTATTTATTGAACAAGCGGGATGAGAACACAGAGCAAACCACACAGGTGGGAGGATGAGGAGTTTCCCGTGGGAACAGGGACAACTCTTCACATGGCATCATTATCAATCCGTGAGGTAGGAAATCATATCAAATACAACATATTGGCTTCCTAGTTTTAGGACAGACCTTTCTACTTTTGAATTATTTAGTGATTTCCTAGTACTTGTTTGTTTTCTCTTCACGTGTTCAAACTGAACTACTTCTACATTTAATTAACACGTTGTTCTAAAAGGCACCCCCAAACAGCATCTATATTTAAGTTCAAGTTCCTCAGACTTCTTAAGGGTAGCATTAGTCTACCTTACTTTGGCTGGGTGCGGTGGCTCACGCCTGTAATCCCAACACTTTAGGAGGCCGAGGTGGATGGATCGCTTGAGGTCAGGAGTTCGAGACCAGCCTGGCCAACATGGTGAAACCCCATTTCTACTAAAAATACAAAAATTAGCTGGGTGTGGTGGTGGTCGCCTGTAGTCCCAGCTACTCAGGAGGCTGAAGTGAGAGAATTGCTTGAGCCTGGGAGGCAAAGGTTGCAGTGAGTCGAGATCATGCCACTGCACTCTAGCCTGGGTGACAGAGCAAGACTCAGAAAAAAAGAAAAGAGGCCGGGCGCGGTGGCTCACGCCTGTAATCCCAGCACTTTGGGAGGCCGAGGCAGGTGGATCATGAAGTCAGGAGATCGAGACCATCCTGGCTAACACGGTGAAACCCCGTCTTTACTAAAAATACAAAAAATTAGCTGGGCGTGGTGGTGGGCGCCTATAGTCCCAGCTATTCGGGAGGCTGAGGCAGGAGAATGGCGTGAACTTGGGAGGCAGAGCTTGCAGTGAGCCGAGATCGCACCACTGCACTCCAGCCTGGGCGACAGAGCGAGAATCCGTCTCAAAAAAAAAGAAAAAAAGAAAAGAAGAGAAAAAAAAAAAGTCTACCTTACTTCTCTTTAACTTCTAAATACACTATAACATTTTTTTGAATAATCAAAGAAAAGAGCAGGGACACGAGAGAAAATGAAGATGATAAAATCTTGTTAGATTCGTGTATTTAAGTGTAATTTTCTTCCATTACAAATAGTGGCTCAAAAATCAAAATTCCTTTTCCAAACACATTTTTCTCTCGAAAATGTGAACAGTCACATTTTCTTCAGAACAATCAAGCAGCAGCTTCTGCGAGATACTGGGAATCACGTGATGGAAAATAAACCTCAATCTCACCAGTTCTTAGTACCCGCAGACTCACAGAACAGCCATCAGAAAAGAGCCCCAAACCAAATGAACCCCCAAAAACTGTAAAATCAGGGGGTGGCTGCTTGAGGTGGAAGTTCTGCATTTATGCCCTATGAGAAAACAGATATAATTTATATCAACACATTTCACCTCAAAAACAGATGCTGACAAATGAAATTACACTAGATTTCCACAGCTGATTATTAAAACCACATTATTCAAAACCAATCTATTCTGGCCACTGTTAAAGGTTTATACTCTCTGTGAATGAAGTAGGAATATGTTAGCAGTATGTAAGAGATTTTGTGAAACTCTTAACGCTAATTACAAATGATGCTTCTAGTAAATAAAGCTGGCCTCCTTAAAACTCACTTAAACGTTGGCGTCCTAGTCTTTCCTTTATAGAATTAAATTACAATTGCTTTTAAGTCTATAAATCAGTCTCTTCGTTAATTCACGTGGATTTTTCTTTCCCTGAAAACAACTTATTTATTTATTTATTTATTTATTTATTTTTGAGACAGGGTCTCATTCTGTTACCCAGGCTGGGGTGTAGCCCAGGAAGTTCATGCCTCACTGCAGCCTCAACCTCCCAGGCTCAGGTGATCCTCCCACCCCAGCTTCCCTGGTAGCTGGGATTACAGGCACATGTCACCACGCCCAGCTAATTTTTTATATATTTTTGTAGAGATGGGGTTTCGCCATGTTGCCCAGGCTGGTCTTGAACTCCTGGAGTCAAGTGTGAGCCATGGCACCCGGCCATAAACAACTTTAATGAGAAAATTACCACAATGTCTAATGATAGTATTGGTCCCACTAGTGACATCAAAGAAAAATGCTAGCAGACATCAAGTTGTTATATTGTTGAGCGCAAATGTAGGAGTAAGTTTTTAAACTTCTAGACATGGTTCATTTACATATAAAATGATGTATTCATTTGGAGATAAGAAATTATGCACTTAATAATAATGTTCACTCCAATCTGTTCCTTGATCTAAGAAAAAAATACTATTCAGCATGAATAAGGACAAAGGGAAGACCTAGGGTATGGTTTTCACATTCACGTTACTTATAAATTCATTAAGATTTTTGTAGAACTCAAATTCTAGGAGAAATCTGATAATACAATTACTGTAGTATCAGGTTGCTAAGCAACAATCTTTTTCTTTCAAAACAGGAAATCACACTTAAGAGTGACAAAAAAAGATATTGAGCCTGATGGCACCACGACATTCAATGCTAGGGCCATTACAGCTCCGTCTTTTTCTAAGACAGTTTCACTTTGCCATTCTGACTGAAGGCTTGATTTTAAGCTTGATTTTTCACACTTCTTCGGCTGGATTTCCCTGCACCCCTGTCTGGTGTTCACAAGTGCCAGGCACCATTCTCGATTTATTTCACTGAATTCTCACCAGCACCCTGGGAGGTGGACGGTAACCTTGTCCTCCCCGCTGTGCTGAGGAGGAAACAGAGACCCTGAGACCTGAAGCCACTTGCTGAGGCCACTCACAGCCTTTTTGGACAGAAAAGAAAGGACACTCTAATGGTGTCATTTCAGGGAGCAGGGAGAAGGGTCTGGAATAGTAGGGGGAGAAGAGGAGGAGAGCTTTGGCCAAACTCTGGACAGGTTGGCCCTGGGGATCTCTCTACGATTATCCACTACCATGAGAACTGCTGGGGAGACTCACGTTAGTGCGTGCTGGGCAGGCCTACCCCTCCATGGTGACCAGGATGCCAGGTGCCCCTGCCATCTCTGAAACTAGTCAGATCTGATTGTCCCCAACTCCACCCCATCCCACCCCTCATCTCTGGATTGTCAGCAGACTACAAGGTAGAGGCCCCACTGTGACAACCTGCAACTTGGCCTCCATAAAGGAACACAGGGCCCAGGTGCAGTGGGTGGCTCATGCCTGTAATCCCAGCTCTTTGGGAGGCCAAGGCAGGTGGATCATCTGAGGTCAGGAGTTCAAGACCAGCCTGACCAACATGGTGAAACCCCGCCTCTACTAAAAATACAAAATTAGCCGGGTGTGGTGGCAGGCACCTGTAATCCCAGCTACTTGGAAGGCTGAGGGAGGAGAATCGCTTGAACCCGGGAGGCAGAGGTTGCAGTGAGCCAAGATTGAGCCATTGCACTCCAGCTTGGGCAACAAGAGTGAAACTCTGTCTCAAAAAATAATAATAATAAAAAAGGAACATAGCCCTGCTGACCACCCAGCAGGAGAGGTTATGGAAGGCTAGGGTCTAGCCACCCCTATGGTCTGCACCATGCCTAAAGCATAAGTGTATGGGTTATCAAAGATAGCTTTTTTAGTTTGCTTTTGGGCCTAACAAGCATCCCTCACCCCTTTGTCTAGCCACAGAACAGTGGTTTGGGCAAAATCCACTCCATGACCCTCCTCCCCGACCCGATCTCAAGGCTCAGACCTGGCCAATGTCCTCCATCCTCCTGATGACAATAGCTGATTTAAGGATGGCCACATGACCTGAACTGCCACAATCACAATCATCTCTAAAATTGTGCTATCCGTGCTGGTGGAAAGGCTCCCTCTTCCTCCACCACCTTGAGAACGCCATCTAAAGCAAGAGGCGCTAGTAATCATCTTTCCCTCCACGGGGGGAAATCCTGCCCAAGAATGGAGCCAACATGGAAGAAGACAGAGCCATGAGATGGACTCAGCCTGACAGCCTCACTTAGATGCTTGGATGCAGCAGGGCCCAAAGACCCCAAAGTCAGCAAGTTCCCACTTTTTTTTTCTTTTTTTTGAGATGGAGTTTGTTGCCCAGGCTGGAGTGCAGTGGTGCGATCTTGGCTCACTGCAACCTCTGCCTCCCAGGTTCAAGCGATTCTCCTGCCTCAGCCTCCTTAGTAGCTGGGATTACAGGTGCCTGCCACCACGCCCACACCATACCTCAGGCTATCCACCTGCCTCGGCCTCCCAAAGTGCAGGGATTACAGGTGCGAGCCACCGCGCCTGGCCAGTTCCCGCTTTTTAAACAAATTAGTGTTAGATTTCTCTCCCTTTGCAACCCAAAGTCCCAGCTGTCTTCATTTTATGCCTGTTAAAAACACCACAGGAATTTAACGCATAATTTGTTATGGAATAATTTACAGTTTTTAATAAGAAAATTCATTTCTATTGCAAGGTTAAAAGATACTATTTAAAAAAGAAAAAAATTAATTTCTGAGACAATTATGTCACAAGTCACGAGCTAATCTATGGGCATGTTTCTACTTTACAATTTTAAATAATGAAAAATTAGGTCGACTAGTGCTTTGTTCACAATATTAAAATAATCACATGTTCAAGTAGTTATTTTAACTGTACATACCTTTAGGGAGTTCCGTATCTTGAATGGGATATTTGTCTGACTGTAGAAACCAACAAAAGAGGAGAATTATTTTTAAATGCCATGTAAGATCAAAGTGAAAAGAAAGCTTTGTCTTGGGAAAGTTATGACTTCAATTAAAAACTTGAAAATGTTTAACCTCAAACTTATCAACTGGCCTTATCCATTGATTGTGTTTATTCTCAGTCGACAGGAATGAAATCAAGGTTGACAAGAGGTTAATGCTGGAACATGAAACAGAATAAGGCTTCCAAATTTCCACAGCTTGGACCACGAAACTACACTTCCTCTCTTTTCTGCAGTGCTAGCCTCCTGCAGTTTACAATTGAGGAGCATTTGTTGTCATGAATTATGAGGACAGATGCATTTCTTCTCACCGTTTCTGCAATAGTCACTGGGGTCAATAAGCATGTGTTCTGGGCAGTACTCACTATTGCAGAGCTCTGGCCTGGGTCGACTGAGACAGGATGATTCAAAAGATCCCTTCCCTACTGACTGCACAAAGATCTAAAAATCAGTAATTATGCAGAATTCAGCACAGTTCCTCAATGCATCAGTTGAGAGTAATACTGTTACAGGAATTCAAAATAGCAAATGTTCTCACAATCACATATATTTCTTTTCATTTATTCATACTTACATGCCGATATCTAAAGTTCCGGAAACTTATTTCAGACTAAACAATGTAGCCATTTCTGAAAACGTCCATGAGAGGAATGAAAAGGAGCCTAATTTCCCAACCCTGTCCCCTAACCCCTGCTCAGCTCCCAACTCCACTCAGCCCTGTCCTTCAGCCTGAACAAAATTACACCTGAACAATTTCCTGTAGCTCTCCACCCATGTCTTCCTCCAAGAGAGGAGAGAGAGAAAGAAATGGAGAATCGAGGGTTTTGTTTTAAGTGCCTTTCCTGGGAGTTTCTTTGGAGCTGGGCAGTAAAGTTTTAAAACTTCTAGAAGCCTCCAACCTCTCCCAACAAAAATAAATTAGTAAATAAAAATTAATCACACAGAATAGTCCTACAGTTCTACCCCAGATCAAATTAGTTCTCATCATTCTACTCCCAAGACCGAGGAACACAAACCTGTACTAGAACATTTATCACTCTGTTTCAAAAAGAGGCTGGGTGCGGTGGCTCACGCCTGTAATCCCAGCACTTTGGGAGGCTGAGGCAGGCAGATCACCTGAGATCAGAAGTTCAAGACCAGCCTCGCCAACATGGTGAAACCCCATCTCTACTAAAAATACAAAAATTAGCTGGGCATGGTGGCCCGTGCCTGTAATCCCAGCTGCTCAGGAGGCTGAGTTACGAGAATTGCCCCAGGAGGCGGAGGTTGCAGTGACCTGAGATCGTGCCATCGCACTCCAGCCTGAGCAACGGAGCAAGAGTTGGTCTCAAAATAAATAAATAAATAAAAATAAACAGTACTTGTCTATTTCCTCAGATAGACTGAGTTTTCCCAGAGATGGAATTACAATCTGTGCATTCCCAGATTGTAACATAGTTTTAAGTAAACATCCACTGAAAGTCTGCATGGAAGAACACAGAAGCCAGAGCAAGTTCAGGGCTCCTAGAAAGACGATGCTGGAGCTAGCCCTAGAGAATGGCTGAGAATTGGATGAACTCAGAAGAAGCAGCAAAGTAGTTGCTGGTGGCAGGCATGGCAGGAGAAGGGATCAGGTGGCTGGAAGAGCGGAGGGTATAGAACTGAAACAGAGAGTCTGTTGGAGGTGGACAGAGGAAGGCGGGATTAGATGAGAAATGACGGACCCAGTTTCTAAGAAAGACCAAGAAAGATAAGCAAAGGGATTTAGGTGGGATGCCCTTCTAGGTTCTCGGGAAACTTGCTACCTGCCTTGCACTGACTTTGCATGAGGGAAGATGGTCAACACAGTCTTGCAAGAAGTCAGACAAGCAGGCAATGACAATTCTCTGAGATGGCAAATAGGGATTGGGCTACGGAGAAGGGAGCACCTGAAAGTCCCAAGGCAAGTAAGGCTTTGTAGATCAGGGGAATACTTGAAGTGAGATGGGAAGAAGCACAGGAGTTCATTAGGTAAAGATGCAGGGAGATTTTCCTTGCCAGAGGGAACAGCATTATTGCTACCCTGGGAGGGTGAGAGGGCATGGCGTATTAAGAAGCACCACACAGCTACACAGGGCTGGGTCAGCAGGTGAGCAGTGGATGCTGAGGTAAGGCCATGGAGGACCTCATCTCCCATGTCAAGGGGTATATACTAAATCCTGTACCCAGCGGGAATACTGTGGGTTGAATTCTGTCTCCCAAACCAGATGTGTTGAAGTCCTAACCCCCAGTTCCTCAGAATATGACTTTATTTGGAAATAGGGTAGTTGTAGAGGTAATTAGTTAAGTTATGAGGAGGGTAGGCCCTTGACCCAATATGATTGGTATCTTTAAAAGAAGAGACGAGGGCCAGGCATGGTGGCTCACGCCTGTAATCCCAGCACTTTGGGAGGCCAAGGCAGGCGGATCACCTGAGATCAGGAGTGCGAGACCAGCCTGACTAACATGGTGAAACCCCGTCTCTACTAAAAATACAAAAAAATTAGCCAGGCCCGTTGGTGGGCACCTGTAATCCCAGCTACTTGGGAGGCTGAGGCAGGAGAATCACTTGAACCTGGGAGGCAGAGGTTGCAGTGAGCCGAGATCACGCCATTGCATATTGCACTCCAGCTGGGCGACAAGAGTGAAACCCCATCTCAAAAAAAAAAAAGAAGAAGAAGAGGAAGAAGAAGAAGAAAGAAGAAGGAGAGGGAGAAGGAGAAGAAGAGACGAGACACAAACACCCTGGGAGAAGATGGTCATGTGCTAACGAGTGAGAGAACGGAGTGATGCCTCTATAAGCTGAGGAGTTTCCACGATGGCTGGCAACCACTACAAGCTAGAAGAGACAAGGAAAGATTCTTCCCTATGGGTCTCAGAGGGAGAATGGCCCTGAGGACACCTTGATTTCAAGCTTCCAGCCTCCAGAACCAGGAGCAAATACATTTCTATTGTGAAAGCTGCCCAGTCTGTGGTATTCTGTTGCGACAGCCCTAAGAAACTAGTAAGAGGGACACTTTGGAAAGATCACTTTGTCCCCAGCATGGAGAAGTAATTAGAGGTAGCTGAGCCCCAAGGTGAGCATAAGGACATAGCTCCAAGGGAGGGAAAGAAAACCTGGTATCAGGAAGTAAGCAGGATACCAGGGAGAACTGGAGAGTCACAGGTGGGGGCAGTGGGAAGGGAAAGAAGGCAAACTGAATAACACTTTATAGAAACCAAAGGCTTTAGTAACAAGCTACTCCAGAGACATATAAGCCATGGCCACAGGGTTGTTCTTCGTTCCATTTTGATCAGAGTGAAGAGACTGAGAATTTTTCATAGGAATTTCCAGTGGGTATCAAAGCTTGACCCCCTACGCTGTCTACAATTTACCAAGCCAGGGGTAATTAAAGGACAGGAAAACAAACACCTCAGGTCCGCAAGACACCTAAGATTTAAAGACATTTAGTTGAATTACATGAAGTGTATTCTGTGTCGCTGTAACTAAATCAGTTAACCAAAACTTTTCATGAGTTGGTAGATCCCATCCTCTGAGGATCTGGAACAGAAGGAATGTGTCCTACACAATATGCCCATCACACACGCTGCCTGACAGAGAGCACCGCTTTGGCCCTCAGCAAGAAGCAGTGCTGGGCAGGAGCACAGGGCTCCGGTCTAGGTGGCGGCACACTTCCATTAACTGTCCTTTCTGCATCTGTAGGATGGGGGTACGTGCCCCACCATCTCAAGGGATGGTTGGGAGGATCTTGGGAGGTTGAAAAATAATGATGGCAGCCATAAAAAAGAACACAATTCTCTCCTTTGCAGCCACATGGATGCAGCTGGAAGCCATCATCCCAAGTGAAATAACTCAGAAACAGAAAATCAAATACTGCATGTTCTCACTTATAAGTGGGAGCTAAAGAATGGGTACCCATGGACATAAAGATGGAAATAACAGACACTAGGGACTCCAAAAGGGGGGAGGGTGGGAGGAGGGCTCAGGGTTGAAAAATTACCTATTAGGTACAGCGTTCACTATGTGGGTGATGGATTTATGAGAAGCCCAAACCTAACCATTATGCTATGCATCCACGTAACAAAGCTGCATACGTACCCATGGAATCTGAAATTAAAATGATAATAATAATAAAACCATAAAATGAATTTTAAAAAACCAATATATGTGAAATCTTTGGATACCCTTAAAGCAATAGCCTCAGAATGGTTACGGGAGGGTGGGGAGAGGATGTGGCTCAGAAGGCAGCTGCTAGAACTAAACGCTGTAACTGAGGTAAATCCAATAGCGTGTGTCCATCTGGCATCCCAGGCTGCTCCATTACCAGACCAGTAGTATTAAAAACAGGCAAGTAGGCCAGGTACGGTGGCTCACATCTGTAATCCCAGCACTTTGGGAGGCCGAGGGTGGCAGATCACCTGAGGTTAGGAGTTCAAGACCAGCCTGGCCAACATGGTGAAACCCCCACTCTACCAAAAAAAAAAAAAAATTAGCCAGGCATGGTGGCACATGCCTGTGGTCCCAGCTACTTGGGAGGCTGAGGCAGGAGAATCGCTTGAACCTGGGAGGCAGAGATTGCAGTGAGCTGAGATCGCGCCACTGCACTCCAGCCTGGGTGAGAGAGCAAGACTCCGTCTAAAAAAAAATAAAAATGAAAAATGAAATAAAAAAAAACCAGGGAAGTGGGTAAAGCCCTCACATAATGTAATATCACCTCCAACATGAGCAAAAGAAGAAAAGAATCTAACGCCATTTTTAGCCTGGAGAAACCCAAAGTTTATTATTATCACGTAGAATACCAAGATAAAGCAGTTATCTTAGAAAAATCTTACTTTGGGGTTTCTGATGCACATGTAAATACTGAGTAATAAAAACGTAAAGAAATAACAAAGAAAAAAAGCAAAACAATAATTATCACCATTAGTGTAAAATTTGTCACCTACCATATTAAAGGATAAAGTGCTAGGGTCTGTGTCTTCCACTGGTTCCTTTACCATATGATCTGTAAAAAGAACAAAAACAAACAAATAGAGCGGGTTTGCTTTAATTTAAAACCACAAATGAGTCCTTTGATAACTGTCTCTATACAGAGGCAAGTAATTTTACTTAGGCTGAAGAAAACCTTACTCCTTTTTTTTTTTTTTTTTTTAAGAAATAGGATTGGCTGGGTGAGGTAGCTCATGCTGTAATCCCAGCACTTTGGAAGGCCAAGGCGGGTGGATCACTTGAGGTCAGGAGTTCGAGACCAGCCTGGTCAACATGGTAAAACCCTGTCTCTACTAAAAAATAAAATAAAATAAAAATAAAAATTAGGTGGGCGCCTGTAATCCCAGCTACCCAGGAGGCTGAGGGAGGAGAATCGCTTGAGCCCAGGAGTCGGAGGTTGCAGTGAGCCAACACAGTGCCACTGCACTCCAGCCTGGGAGACAGAGTGAGACTCCATCTCAAAAAAAGAAAGAAAGAAAGAAAAAAGAAATAGGGTTTGCTCTGTAGCCCAGGCTGGAGTACACTCAGTGGCACAATCATAGCTCACTACAACCTTGAGCTTCCGGCCTCAAGCGATCCTCCCACCTCAGCCTCCCAAAGCACTGGGATTACAGGCATGAGACACCGCACCTGGCCTGAAAGTCTTACTTCCAATTATTAGTTGAGACAAAATAAAGAGGAACAGATTCAGATTGCATCAAGAAATAGATTAATAAAAAGAAACTATAGGCCAGACGCAGTGGCTCACGCCTGTAATCCCAGCACTTTGGGAGGCCAAGCCGGGCAGATCACCTGAGGTCAGGAGTTCAAGATCAGCCTGGTCCAACATAGGGAAACCCCATCTCTACTAAAAATACAAAAATTAGCCTCGCATAGTGGTGCACACCTGTAGTCCCAGCTACTCAGGAGGCTGAGGCAGAAGAATAGCTTGAACCTGGGAGGTGGAGGTTGCAGTGAGCTGAGATCACACCACTGCCCTCCAGCCTGGGTGACAGAGCAAAACTCCATCTCAAAAAAATAAATTAATTAATTAAAAATATAAAAAGTAACTACATAAAAAACCCCACCATATTTTGGAACAGGTTACCTATAAATATCTTCAAATACCCAGAGTTACAAACAACCACAAACTATGCAGGCATCACATTAATGACTCTCTTGCCTACTGAATTTGACACTACCTTCGGCAGGAATGACTCCATTCTGAATCTACTTCTTTCCTGATTTCCTATTTTGCTGCAACTCATTTTTCTTAATCTTCTGAATGTTGTTTATGTGGACTAATAAAGAAAAAACCATAGTTTTTTATCAAAAATAATCTTGATTTCTCAATATTTTGTTTCTGATACTTTATCACTTGATGCATTGAAGGAATTTAAAGGGGAAATACGGAAAAAGGCACAGACCTCAGTCAGGACCTAATTAGTACAAATTAGAAAAGTTTCCCATCTCCAAAATGCTTTATAAGACATCTGCCAGAGAGCTGTCTCAGTAAATAATCAAATCTTTTTGCGTGGGATCCTCCAGATTTGTGCAGTGAACGACCTGCAGTACCCTAAGTGGCAGTCGTGGGTCCGCCAAGAGTCAGCATTCACTTTTGATCCAAATCCTCATTAAGTACATATTGCAGACTAGGAATTAGGTCCTGGGAATGCCTTTGGGGATCCAAATAAGCACAGCAGGACAATTTGTCAAGATAATAATTTGTGTGTGTTCTTCCTAGGTGTTTCCCAGCTGAGAATGTGTCTGAACTTTCCACAGTTTCTTTGCCCTGCAGGTGTTGATAATGCCCAAAGAAGTTTCGAGAAGGCAACATCTCTTTGTTTTATGCAGCCTCCAGTCACTGAAGAGAAATGGGGACGAATGGAGAGAGCCTTTGCCATTGCCTCCCATGGAGCAGGATACAGACATCTGCAGAGCATGAAGGTGGCAAGACTGCATCAGAGACAGCACAGAGCAGCCTAACCCCCGGGGACCGCGGCCCAGCACCAGCAAAGAGACCTGTGCCCTGTGTCCAGCACAGAAACAGAGGGCTGCTGGGTCTCAAGGGACTTCTCAGGCCAGGACCATAAGACAGCAATGCCTCCCTGATGCACTACAAATTTGAGGTCCTTTCCTAGTTTTTCCCAGCACCACATGAACCCCTCAGATTCCTGTGTGGCCCTAAGGGACAGAGCCCCAGTTCTGACTGAAGTGGAATTTCCTGCCAGTCCAGTGCAATACACACTCAGATTTGGATTTAAATGGATAGAAAGAAAATGAAAAACAAATTGTGTTGCTAATGCCTCCCTGAGATGGCAGAACTCTTACTGCCCAAGCAACAAGTAATGATACAGAGCCCTTAGTGCTAAGGCAGTGGCAGTGCAGGACAACCAGGGGACACCCAGACCCAGCACTCGCAGCCTGGGGAGCTCCCGGAGAGAGGAGGGGTGGGAGAAGAGCCTGCAGAGGGCCTGAGGGCTGAGTCTGGAAGGATGAGTTGACATGGTAGCGAGGGAAAAGCATTCTAGGCAGAGGGAATAGCACAGCCACAGAGAAGAGAGAGAACATGACACATTAACGTACAGTCACAGGACAGATCATGTATATGATGGTGGTCCCATAAAGATTAGACCACCATCTTCTCACCATACCTTTTCCATGTTGAGATATGTTTAGACACACAAATAGCACTGTGTTACAGCCGCCTGCTGTATTCAGGGTGGTCCCATGCTGGGCAGGTGTGTAGTCCTGGAGCAATGGGCTGTACCAAACAGCCCAGGAGTGTTGTAGGTTACACCATCTAGGTTTGTGTAAGTGAACTCTATGACGCTCACCAACTACGAAACCATGTAGTGATGCATGTCTCACAGTGTATCCCTGTTGTTAAGTGACATATGACGATGCTTCAGATGAGTCCTTACAGCCGGACACACGTGCATTCGGTTTTCCAGTTTTTCCTTCCCATCCTTCTCACACGCTGGTTCCTAGCTGGGGAGGGGGTGGTAGAAGCCACCACAAAATAGCCCGAAGTCCCTTCTCCCTCCTCCTATCACAGCCTAGTCTCACATATTTCATCTTCACTACAGGGTACCTGGAGGATACGGCTTAAAAATGCCATCCTGCCAGGAGTGTGGCTTGTTAATAGCATCAACACAGTGAAATTTCAGGTAAATGGGTTTGGAGTGTGGAGCCAGGGGTGGGGTGAGGCTGGGGGCTTTAAATGCTCTGACACCATCCTCTGCAAACAATGCCCGCTGCGTCCAGGACAAGTTAATCCTGCTTCCTACAGGAAAATTAGAATGAGCAGAAAAAAAAAAGGAAAGAGAAAGAAAGAAAGAAAGAAAGAAAGAAAGAAAGAAAGAAAGAAAGAAAGAAGGAAGGAAGGAAGGAAGGAAGGAAGGAAGGAAGGAAGGAAGGAAGGAAGGAAAGGAAGGAAGGAAAGAAAGAAAGAAAAAGAAAAGAAAGAAAGAAAGAAAGAAAGAAAGAAAGAAAGAAAGAAAGAAAGAAAGAAAGAAAGAAAGAAAAAGAAAGGAAGGAGAGGAAAATGCAGTAGATCGCTGGGAAAGGCAGAGCCACAAAAAAAGCATCATTGAGGACACACACAGGACAGTTAAAAGCAAGGAAGGACCGGTCCTCAGTGGCACATCACTAAGAGCTAGCAGTCTGGCCTTAAACAAGTCTAGAGCTGTGGCCTTGGACAAGCCTAGAGGTGTGACCTTGGAGAAGTCACGTAAGCTTTCTAAGCCTCGGGCTCTTCCTCTGCACCATGAGGAGTTCCAGGTCTCCGGATCCCACACTCAGCTTACTACCATTATTCTGGATTTGGGAACCACCTGGGTGGGTGAATTTCAATCAACACTCCTCAGACTCTGACCGAGTTCTGTGAGATCCCAGGGCTTGTGTTGGAGGGTTATGAGGCCAACAAGATAGAGACAGAAGACATCACAGGTTTATAGGCACAAAGTCTCTTGCTTCGGTCTGACATCTCAGAATAAATGGAACTTAAGATGAGAAAGACACAGAGAATTTAGGTTTTTTTGTTTTCTGAAGCACAACAATGAAGTGAGAGGGGAACTGGGAAAGGCACTACTTTTAGAACAGGTGTTAGAGGCATTTTCAGGTCTTTTTTTAAAAATTAATTACTTAATTTTTTTTTGAGATGGAGTCTCACTCTGTCGCCCAGGCTGGAGTGCAGTGGCGTGATCTCGGCTCACTCCAATCTCCGCCTCCTGAGTTCAAGCGTTTCTCCTGCCTCAGCATCCTGAGTAGCTGGGATTACAGGTGCCCACCACTATGCCCGATTTGTTTTTGCATTTTTAGTAGAGATGGGGTTTCCCCATGTTGGACCAGGATGGTCTCAAACTCCTGACTTCAGATGATCCACCCACCTCAGCCTCCCAAAGTGCTGGGATTACAGGTGTGAGCCACCGCGCCAGACATTTTTTTTGAGACGGCGTCTCACAGTGTCACCCAGGCTGGAGTGCCGCGATGTGATCACCGCTTACTGCAGCCTCAACCTCCCAAGCACAAGCGATCCTCCCACCTCAGCCTCCCAAGTAGCTGGGACCACAGACATGCGTCACCATGCCCAGCTAATGTATGGGGGATTTTGTTTCTGTTTTTTGTAGAGACGGGGTCTCGCTATATTGCCCAGGCTAGTCAGGTCTTTTATGATTTTTCTGATTGCGGTTCTGACTTTATCAGCCTTTGCCTTATATCAAGCTGTGGATTAAGTTCTTACATACATGTTACTGCCAAATACACTCATTGACCCAGGCCCACGGTGGCGCCCATGCACTGTATCTGAAACTGCACCTTCTCCCTGGCCTTTATTTTAGATCCTGGCAGACTCCTTTTGTTCTCACAGGTCCAGATGTGAGTGTGTACCAGGGAAGTTATTTGGAGGAGAGCAGATCCTGGTTATTTGAGACTGATTCAGAAGTGGAAAGCTGCCCTAAGGTCTTTCTTAGGAACTTGGAGTTGCATGTTTACGATACTATTAAGTGTAAAATCAAATCGTTTATCTAGAAGCTTTAAAATGTTTGTTTTTCCCAGCCCCCGCCTAACAGCAGGCTGAGCCTTCAGGCAAGGCTCTGATATCTAATAGGACGGGCAGAGGAGCAGAGGAGAAGCGGGGCCACGTGAGCCCATCGGAGACAAGGCCAGTGGTTTCGCCAGGGCCGGTGCGGGATCTGTCCTCTGCTCATGGCTGCCATCTTATGCCAGGCTGTGCTTTTCTGCCAAAGCTGCCTGGGCTCCCCCAGGTCGGTGACTCTGCACAAGGCTCAGATCACCTCAAATTAGCTGGTAACTGACTGCTGGGGATATCTCTGCCGGCAGTGAGAATGAGGTGTAACTCCCTCAAGCATATTCTGGAAAGTTCCTCAAAAGGCATGAGAGAAACCTGGTGAACTGATGCATCAGGGCTGGCGAGGGCACCTGGCCTGGCTCACAGAGGCTGCGGGTGAGAGCAGGCAGGGCGGGCTGCACCCTCATTTTCTTTCTGTGGGTCCTAAATCCCCAACTTAAATCTCAGGAGGTGAACAGAGCACCTCTGCATCCCCTTCCTGCTTTAAAAGTCCGTGAGTGGTGAGTAGTAGTATCCACATGGGTCAAAGAGCACCTCCAAGCTGAAAGTTCACAATTAAACTTTCAAAGCTCTAGGCTGGGCGTGGTGGCTCACACCTGTAATCCCAGCACTTTGGGAGGCCGAGGCAGGCGGATCACGAGGTCAGGAGATCGAGACCATCCTGGCTAACGTGGTGAAACCCCGTCTCTACTAAAAATACAAAAAATTAGCCGGGCATGGTGGCGGGCACCTGTAGTCCCAGCTACTCAGGAGGCTGAGGCAGGAGAATGGTGTGAGCCCGGAAGGCGGAGGTTGCAGTGAGTCGAGATCACGCCACTGCACTCCAGCCTGGTCGACAGAGCGAGACTCCTTCTCAAAAAAAGAAAAAAGAAAAGAAAAAAGCTTTCAAAGCTCTCACTTAGAAAAGTTCGAACAGGTGGCTCACGCCCGTAATCCCAGCACTTTGGGAGGCCAAGGCGGGTGGATCACTTGAAGTCAGAAGTTCGAGACCAGCCTGGCCAACATGGTGAAACCCCATCTCTACTAAAAATACAAAAATTAGCCAGGCGTGGTGGCACATGCTTGTAATCCCAGCTACTGGGGACACTGAGGCAGGAGAATCGCTTGAACCCAGGAGGCGGAGATTTCGGTGAGCCAAGATCTCAACACTGCACTCCAGCCTGGTAAACAGAGCAAGACTCTGTCTCAAAAAAAAAAGAAAAGACAAGACAAGTTTGAAAAGTTTAAAAGCTTCCCTAGCGTCTGCTCTGCATGGCATGGCTTACACACAGTCTCAGCTAAGCCTTCCAGTAACCCTGAGGAAGGCATTAGGCATCCCCTTTTTCACACATTGAGTATCCAAGATCACAGGGTAAGAGGTAAGTGGAAAAGCCAGAACTTGTATCTGGGACTTTCTGGCTTCATAATCTGCCTGTTTTCCAGTATAATCAGGTTCTAGAAGTGCCTCATGGCCAGGTGTGGTGGCTGACATCTGTAGTCCCAGCACTTTGGGAAGCCAAGGTGGGAGGATTGCTTGAGTTCAGGATGTTTGAGAACAGCCTGGGCAACACAGTGAGACCTCATTTCTACTTATTTAAAATAATAAAAAATAAAATAAAAATTTTGAGACAGGGTTTCACTCTCTCACCCAGGCTGGAGTGCAGTGGCTTAATCACAGCTCACTGCAGCCTCCACCTCCTGGGCTCAAGCAATCCTTCCACCTCCTCTTGAGTAGCTAGGACTAAAGACATGTGCTGTCACATCTGGCTAATTTATTTTTATTTTTGTAGAGATGGGGGTCTCACTATGTTACCCAGGCTGGTTTCAAACTCCTGAACCCACCTTGGCTTCCCAAAATGCTGGGATTACAGGCACAAGCCACCACGCCTGGCCAATAAAATAAAATTTAAAATAGAAGTGGGCTGGGCACAGTGGCTCACATCTGTAATCCCAGTATTTTGGGAGGCCGAGGCGGGCAGATCACCTGAGGTCAGGAGTTTGAGACCAGCCTGACCAATATGGGAAAACCCCATCTCTATTAAAAATAAAAAAATTAACTGGGCACGGTGATGGATGCCTGTAATCTCAGCTACTCAGGAAGCTGAAGCAGGAGAATCGCTTGAACCCGGGAGGTGGAGGTTGCAGTGAGCCGAGACAGCACCACTGCACTCCAGCCTGGGCAACAAGAGCGAAACTTGGTCTCAAAATAAAATAGAAGTGGTTCATACACTGACCACCCGACAGACTCTCTTGAGAAGGTGAGTGTCTGTGTGTCCCATTTCCCCTTTTTATATGGGCACCAATCATATTGGTTTAGAGCCCACTCTGATGATTTCATTTTGAATTGGTTACCTCTGGAAAGACTCTGTTTCCGAAGAAAGTTACATTCTGAGGTACTAGGAATTCCAACTTCAACATATCTTTTTAGAGGGGCACAATTCAACCCGTAACAGTTCACACTCTGCCCCCTGCCCATCCTTTCCACATGCAGAATCTATTTGCCTCCTCCCGACATCCCCAAAAGCGTTAATCATTCCAGCATCCACTCTAAATCCTAAATCTCATCTACTCTTCTTCAACTCAAAGACTCAAATCCCATCATCTACCAAATCAGAGCCTCTTCAGGAATGCTGGGAAACACGTACTGTATGCAACAGCCTCTCCAGAAAGAATCCTCAGCACATAACCCGAAACAGACACTGGTGGGGCGGCCGAGGACTGCACTGCCGCATTCTGACATCAGATAGCGGTGAATGCTTCCTAGAGACGGTTTCTCAAAGGAAGTTCAAACATCTCTAAAGATGTCCTTTCAGAGAAAACAAGGAAGTATGTCAGGACTTCCTGGCCTTCCCAAGCATCCTGAGCCAGAAAAGTGCAGTCACTGTGCTTTCTAGTGAAGAATTACAGGCAATTATTTGAATGTGTGATTGCAGGATTAATTTCTTTCTCATTTGTTATTTGTGTGTTGTTTTGTACCATAGCTTTTTTTTTTTTATTTGAGACAGTCTTGTTCTGTCGCCCAGGCTGTAGTGCAGCAGTGTGATCTCAGCTCACTGCAACCTCTGCCTCCTGGGTTCAAGTGATTCTCCCACCTCAGCCTCCCATATAGCTGAGATCACAGGTGCCCAGCTAATTTTTGTATTTTTATTAGACATGGGGTTTCGCCATGTTGGCCAGCCTGGTTCTTGAACTCCTGACCTCAGGTGATCCACCTCCCTCGGCCTCCTAAAGTGCTGGGGATTATAGGCGTGAGCCACCGCTCCCAGCCCATAACTTTTCTTTTGACTGCTATTGTCATTATTGGATATAAAAAAGGCTTGGAGGTGGGGTGTGGTGGCTCACTCCTATAATCCCAGCACTTTGGGAGGCCAAGGAGGGCAGATTGCTTGAGTTCAGGAGATTACTTGGGCAATATGGCGAGACCCCATCTCTACTAAAAATACAAAAAAAAAAAAAAAAAATAGCCGGGTGTGGTGGTACAAGCCTGTGGCCCCAGCTACTCAGGAGGCTGAGGTGGGAGGATTGCTTGAGCCCAGGAGATGGAAGTTGCAATGAGCCAAGATCGTGTCATTGCACTCCAGCCTGAGTGCAGAGCGAGACAGAAAAAACAAAAGGAAGTTTTTCTGGAGTCCTGAGACATATTCAGGATTCCAGAAGCTCTCAGAGCTGCAGGGGTGCTGCTGCGTGGTGGTGCTGACACTGTTTCATTGAGCTTCCTCTGTCTTTTCAGCACCTCACCCTGACCTCGGCTACTCTGTCAACCTCAGACCCCGCAGCAGGGGCTGAACAAGCTGGGAAAGGGGCAAGGATCACAGAAGTACATCCCTACAGCAACCTCTCTGGAGGGCAGCCGAGCATTAAGTGTGTCAGCCAGGCTACTGACGGGGGATCAAACAGAAGAGGGCAGGGGAGGATGAGGGAAGACAGCAAACAAAGAGATAAAGCTCAGGGAAAATGCTTGGGTAGAGAGAAGGAAACTCACAAAGCAGAGGCGTTGTAAGAAAGGAAGAGAAATGAAGTGAGCATTGGGAAAACCCACGTGGAGGAGAAAGAGAAAGGGCAGAAGGAGCAGAGAAGGGAAAACCACAGATTGCCATCCCTCTCTTTGGTGTATCTGCAGAAAGAATTGGCTGGTCCAGCTTTGCACATATGAGTGCTCCAGGAAGTGGTTTATCCTTTAGTCCTGGGTACTGCGCCCAATGCCACAGGAGGGTAGGTTGCCACCTTGGACCCATTGAAGCCCACAGGAGGGGCAGTGAGAGGTGAATGCCACCACTGGGGCTGTCCTGAGTTGGTGGCCCAGGCCCAGGGTTCCCCCAGGAAACAGCCCTGCGGTGTGGAGTCTCAGAACAAAGGGAGAATGTGCTCTTTTGCAATGCTCTGTGGCCGTCGGCACTTGCCTTACTGCAACGAAGCAAGGAATTGTGCCACCTTTGACCCAGACCTTCAAAGCCCGGTTGTTTGTTTCTGTCTGTAAAATCTATCTGTATGAACAATCATGAACAAACAGATTTTACAAACATTTGACAGACAAATCTGGCTCATCCATTGTGAGACTGTTTCTCAGTGGGAGAGACACAGGGTGATAGCTACACTATAACCACCATCATTGTTTTCCTTCCATGTGACTGTGACAGTCTTGTGAATTTTCTCAATGTAAAAAGTCACTTAAAATTAACTCATGGCCAGGGTGTGGCCAGGGCGTGGTGGCTCATGCCTGTAATCCCAGCACTTTGGGAAGCTGAAGCAGTCAGATCACTTGAGGTCAGTGGTTCCAGGCCAGCCTGGCCAACATGGTGAAACCCCGTCTCTACTAAAAAAGAAATACAAAAATTAGCCAGGGGTGGTGGCACACCCCTGTAATCCGAGCTACTTGGGAGGCTAAGGCAGGAGAATTGCTTGAACCCAGGAGGTGGAGGTCACCGTGAGCCAAGATCGCATCATTGCACTCCAGCCTGGGCAACAGAGTGAGATTCTGTCTCAAAAAAATTAATAAATAAATAAATACAATTAACTCATAATATACTATAATCATATACATACTTTTGTTATATGCACGTGGATATACAAACATCTTACTTTAACTTTACAAAGAAAACTTAGTTAATACGGCTAACTCGATGAGTAAGTTCCTAAAATGCCAATACGGGAAGAGCTTTTTCTCCCCCCAACTCTTTAAAGAGCCTGTGGTTAAATTTTATAACCTTCCTTCATTCACTGAGGTGGTATTTGCCCAGGGCTTACTATGTGCGGAGTACTATGCTGAGTGTTAGGGAGAGCTACCACACAGACATGACCTCTGTCCACGAGTTTATTTCCTACTGGAAATAGCCACGGTGGCCAAATAATCACAGCTAGAAATTGTGACAGGTGCCAGAAAGGAAAGGTACAGGGTTTGCTGAGCATGTATAACATCGGGCTGGATCCCGGTGACCTATGAGCTGAAATCTGGAGGTTAAGTAGAAGGAAACGGGTGGGTGGAGGATGGGGTGAGGGCTGGAATGCAGGGGTCCTTCCAGGCCGCAGGAACAAAGTTTGCAAAGGCCAGGAGGCACGAGGGTGCAAGAGGCTTCAAGGAAATGAAAGGAGGCAGCACGGCTGCGTGCAGAGAGCAGGGGTCAAGCTAGGTGTCAGGTGAGGCAAGTGAAGGAACAGGTAGGGATTGATTGCACAGAGTGTGTAAGCCTCAAGGACTGAGGATCTGTCGGAGTGTTGGAAAGCCAGCACCGGATTCAAAGCCAGCACAGACAAATGGCAGAATCCGATTTGTTTTTAAAAGACGACTGGCTGGGCACAGTGGTTCACACCAGTAATCCCAGCACTCTGGGAGGCCGAGGTGGGTGGATCACTTGAGGTCAGGAGTTCGAGACCAGCCTAAAAATACAAAAAATTAGCCAGGTGTGGTAGTGTGCACCTGTAATACCAGTTACTTGGGAGGCTGAGACAGGAGAATCTCTTGAACCCGGGAGGCGGAGGTTGCAGTGAGTGGGGATCACGCCACTGCACTCCAGCCTGGGTGACAGAGTGAGACTCCATCTTGAAAAATAATAATAATAAAAATAAAATAAAAGATGGCCCTGGCAACCTTTTGCAGAATAGGTTACCAGAAGGCAAGAGTGGGTGTGAAAACCTACGTTGGAATGGTGTGAAAACACCAGGCGGGAGAAGAGTGTGGGAAATCAGGCGAGAGAGTATGGTCACTTGGTCTGGGGTAAAGCGAGCTCAAGATATGGGCACCATCTATGGTTTCATTACAGAAATAGGAGTAAGGGGATGTCTCCTGTGGGTTGCAGAAACGAAACAATATGTTAGGAAGGGGAAATTGGGGTGTGTGTGTGCGCCTGTGTTTAAATGGAGGAGCGCTCATTTTATAGACAGAATAGAGTCCCAGAGCGGGAATGGACATTTGGATCATCTTTCAGATGGTCAAGTATGTTCTTCAGCATCCTCTGCCAACTGGTGGGGAGCTCTCACCCTTAGGAGGCCTCCTTTCTCTTTGTAGGAAGCCCAAATCCATCTCTCTCTAAAGTTTTCACCGACAGGTTTGGGTTCTACCTCTTGAAGTCAAAGAGACAGATTCTTTCCACATGACGCCCTCTTATCATCATATCCTCTGTCCTCTCACTCCTCCACATGTCCTGGGATTTTGAAATCCCTTTGTTCCATGTTGCCCATTTGTTCCAGGTTGTGCACATCCATTTTGGCTGGGCTGGGCAGACTAAGAACACCATCTTGGGAAATCTGGAACCTGTAGCTTTTTATTTATTTATTTATTTATTTTGAGATACAGGTTTTTGCTCTGTCACCCAGGCTGGAGTGCAGTGGCTTACTGCAGCCTCGACCTCCTGGACTCAAGCAATCCTCCTGCCTCAGCCCCCCGAGTAGCTGGGACTATAGGTATGCACTGGCACATTTGGCTAATTTTTCTATTTTTTGTAGAGTCAGGGTCTCACTATGTTGCCAAGGCTGATCTCAAACTCCTGGCCTGAAGCAATCCTCTTGCCTCAGCCTCCCAAAGTGCTGGCATTACAGGCCTGAGCCACTGCACCCAGCCACTGAGCTTTTTACACACTGTGGTCACTGCTGAGCTGTTTCCCAGCCCCCATCTTGCCTGGTACTGTCGATTTAGGGGAGCCCAAGTAGATTTTACATTTTATCTCCATGCAGTGTATCTCTCTCAAGATCTTTTTGAATTCCCCCACCCCCCACCCCTGCAATCATCATTTAATGAGATCTGAGGCCACTAGTAGTAAAATCCAGCCTAAAACACCCCTTGGCACCTTGTCAATTCAGTTCTCAGAAAAGGAGGTGGATGCTAGGGTAGGAGTGGAGTGGGATGGGGCAGTAGGAGGGTTTCTCCCTTTGTTTCCCCTTCTGTTTTTTCAAACAATAGGTATGGGGATGGGGAAGAATATCTAGACAATGTATTTATTTTCCGCATCCAATTGATAAAATGTTTAACAATCCCCACTTAAAAAAAAAAAAGGTAGATCTTTCTTTGAAGTTTCCAAGAAACGCCCCCAAACCCAGCCATCACAATGCCAACTTAGTTGTTGGGTGTAGTCTTCTGACCACCTGCAGACACACTGTCTCCTTTTGACTGCTGAAGCCACAATTTAAGGATGGAACATTCAAACTCGGCCCCTGCCCAAGCTCAAGAAATGAAATAGGAAACGCGTTTATCTAAACGGTTATATCAGGTTCTGTGTAACTCTCTTCAGTGTTTCCAACCTCAACAAAACCAAGTAAAGCCCCAGTGTACTCTGAGGGATAGATCATTCATTCGTGTGTTCAAGAAACACCCACGGATGTCACCGTCTAGGTTATAGGACAGCGGAGAGAGAGAACTCCAGGAAAGCGAGGTCTGGGACGGATTTTAGATTCACGTGAGAGAATAGAGAAAAATCTCCACTCCGACCTCGGGTACCAACACACAATATTTTAAAATAAAGACAGAACTAGAGGCCATTCTAATCACAGATGGGATCCCACAGGTGGGATCCGCCTCTCGATTCTGCGGATACTATCTGATGAAATAGCTCCGAGGGCCAATGTTTAGACAGACAAAACCATTTCATCAAAGTGCAATGGGAGAGAGGAAGAGGAGTAATGAGAAGGCATGTGAGCGGGGAGAAAGAAAAAGCCCGGGAGGCGAAAACGAAATCCACCCCCTTGCGCCCATTTCTGCCAGAGGTTTGCAGGACGTGTCTCAACCTGGCATCCCGAGTCCAGAACAAAAGCCACGGGGGCTGCGGCATGGGCAGGGGGAAGGCGCGCGGTGGCTGACGCGGGGCAGGGGCCCTGGCGAGCGCGGGAGGGGCGGTCAGCAGCCGCTCGCGGGGCTGGACTGGGAGCCCCGTGCGACTCCGGGTCTGGCGCCTGGGTCGGGGGTGGTTCCCGGGCCTCCCTCGGGGGTCGCCGAGGCCCGGCCTCGATAGCCCTGCGGCTGCTGCGAGCGCCTCCCGAGCTCCCGCCCCGCGGTGCTCGCTCCAGGAGCGGGCGCGGCGCTGTGTCCCTTTACCTGCGCGCAGAGGGTCGTCCGGTGAAGCCATGGCGGCGGGTTAGGGGCAAACGAGCGTCCGAGCGGGGCTGGCAGGCCTCCGGGGCGCGGGAGGACCGTGGGACCACGGGGATGAAAAGTCCTGCGGTTCCGACGCGCCTGGAGCAAACCGTGGCTCTGCGCGCCCCTGCCCTCCTCCGCCTTCCCCTCCCTTCTTCTTCTCCTCCTTCGCTTCTTCCACGAGCTCACTTCCTGCTTTGGCAATTAGCAAAGCCCCTTCGCTGCGCGTCCCTCGGTACCTCCCTCCAGAGGCGCGGGGCGGGAGCCGGGGTGCCGCGACCCGGGGCTGGGACGCAAGGCGGGGCCCCGAGTGTCCCGGGCGTCCCCAGCGCCCAGAGCGCGCGTCCTGCCCGGTACCCACGTCCCCCTGGGCGGGTCCTAGCGGGGGGCTGACACGACTGCCGCCCGGGACAGACTGCGAGCGAAGGACTGGCCTTAAGAAACGGCTGCAGTCGCGGGTCGCTTTCCTGGCTCCCTACTCACGCCCTCAGCTGAGACACCAGAACTCCCCTTACACAGGCCTGGGCTGAGATGCCCGCCGGCGATCTGATATTTAGACAAATTTCCTGATCTTTAAGCAGGCTCTGCCGCTGCATGATGGCACACGCTGGTACTTTCTATTTTGATTTTTCTTTGGCATTAGTTACTACATGACCTCCAGGGTGAGTGCTGCAGAAAAGGAGTGAACAGAAGTCGCCCAATACACACTCACAGCTTCTCTAGAAAAAACAGCTTCGGGTTCTCTCAGAAAAGATGGCTTCAAATATTTAAAATATTACGCTTAAGTGGGGTTTTATACCCATTACTTAAGTGAGAACACGTTGGAATTGGTTATGAAGAATATATTTAAGATTGCTACATTTTAACTAAAGCTATCATCCATCATAAGCCTATTATAGGAAGGCGACAGGCATTTTAAATTAAATAGGAATCTTTGAAGAGCTCTAAATAATCTTTCTCTGCCTTCACACATAAGAACAGAAAGATAAAAGTCGGGTCGAAAAAGATAATAATAGTATTTAGTGTATAATATATCCAAGAATTATCGTAAATAAGCAACCTCTGGCTAAAAACTCAGCTCTGAGAAATCCAGGAAGACAGCAAATGCCTACATACCCTCTTGGTGACCAGGAGCTTTAGTGCCTCTCCCCATCTGTTTAGTCGTCCTGAGGCCCATGGCGATGTTGAGTTTGGCTTCTTAATTCTCTGGAGTTTGCCATGGAAGAAGCAACAGATTGCGAGAAGATGCTCGCTGGTTGTCTGGCCAGAGTCAAACCTTCTAGATGAAAGCTCTCTGGGGAATTTGTAGGTGGGAGGATAAACTTCCTCTTGGTCTGCCTTCGGATAGGAAGGGAAATTTTTTTTAAGGGTATTTTATCTTAGAATCAATTTGGAGGTTTGGTTTGTGGTTCTTTCTGTACTTCTCATGGAGATGGAATTATTCTGACGTTGGCCGTCAGGAAACACTAGTTGAGTGAGCTTGTTAGCAGCCCAACCTCAAGCATTGCTATAAAGCTGGTTTGCTTTTTGAAACTCTGAAATGTAATTCATGTTTTTATCATTCCCATTCTGCATTATATCAAATAGAAGATGGTGGTATATTTTAAGGGTTTTTTTTTTTAAGGAAGATTGACTAGTTACGTAGTTATTACTCCCTTTCATTTTCATTTCCTCGTGCCTCCTTTCCTATGAATTGCAACGATCCCCATCATTACCTTTATTTTTCCCATGTGCTTTGCGAACTATAAAGTATGACGCAAATGGGTGCTATTGTTGTTTTGCACTTTACAAAAAAAGTAATTTAAAAATGATTCGCATTCACCAGAGTTCCCATACAATCAATTTGCTGTCACAATGTCCTTCAACTTTTATTTCTTTTGCTGTCCAAGAGTGTTTTAAACCACTATTGAAAATAGACATTTTTGGGCTGGGTGCAGTGGCTCACACCTGTAACCCCAGCACTTTGGGAGCCCAAGGCAGGTGGATTATTTGAGGTCAGGAGTTCGAGGCCAGCCTGGCCAATGTGATGAAACCCCACCGCTACTAAAAATACAAAAAACTTAGCTGGATTGGTGGCACATGCCTGTACTCCCAGCCACTCAGGAAGCTGAGGCAAAAGAATCGCTTGAACCTGGGAGGTGGAGGTTGCAGTAAGCTGAGATTGCACCACGGCACTCCAGCCTGGGCGACAGAGTGAGACTCTGTCTCAAAAAAAAAAAAAAAAAAAAAAGAAAGAAAGAAAGAAAAGAAAATGGACATTTTTAACATTTCCCGATAGTACCCAAACACTCAATCTCAGAGTCATGTGAAAAATTTCATATTTCCATAACTTCACTGCTCTTTGAGTGACCTCCAATTTTCCTTTTCCAATAAATGGAGATAGTGCATTTGGTAATCATGGAGTCAAATATGCTGGATTTCGCTGATGGACCTGTCACTCTAAGGTTGTGTTACATTAAGTAAGAAACCAAAACTGAGTCTGCAAGTGTCTGCAGGATTGTGAGAATTCACTGAAATAATGTTTATGTGAAAATACTGGCTGGGCATGGTGGCTCACACATGCAATTTCAGCACTTTCGGAGGCCAAGGTGGCAGGATTGCTTGAGGCAAGGAGTTCAAGACCAGCCTATGCAACATTTTGAGACCCAGTCTCTACAAAATAATTTAAATATTAGCTGGATCCCAGCACTTTGGGAGGCCAAGGTGGGTGGATCGCTTGAAGTCAGAAGTTCGAGATCAGACTGCCCAACATGGTGAAACCCCGTCTCTGCTTAAAATACAAAAATTAGCTGGGCGTGGTGACAGGCACCTGTAATCCCAGCTACTTGGGAGGCTGAGGCAGGAGAATCACTTGAATCCAGGAGGTGGAGGATCAGTGAGCTGAGATCATGCCACTGCACTCCAGCCTGGGTGACAGAGTGAGACTCCATCTCAAAATAAATAAATAAATAAATAAATACAAATACAAATACAAAAATTAGCCAGGTGTGGTGGCAGGCACCCAACTACTTGGGAGGCTGAGGCAGGAGAATCGCTTAAACCTGGGAGGCAGAGCTGCAGTGAGCTGAGATTGTGCCACTGCACTCCAGCCTGGGTGATAGAGCAAGACTCTGACAAAAAAAAAAAAAAATTAGCTGAGCATGGTGGTACATGCCTGTAGTCCCTGCTACTCTCGGAGGGTGAAGCACGAGGGTCACTTGAGCCAAGGAGTTACAGACCTCAGGGAGCTATGATCAGACCACACCACTGGGTGACAGAATGAGACCCTGTCTCCAGGCAAGCAAACAAACAAACCTAAACTAAGGCCTGTCATATAGTAGGTGCAAATAAACCAGCTACTTTCCTACCTTCATTCTTTCCTTGGAATTTAGTTTATTGAGAGAAGCTCCTATTGCCTTAGTTATAAGAAGTCAACCAATATTTATTACAGTGTTTGTACACAGCATGGAGCAATGGATTGATTGGTTTCATTCATTAATGCAATTTTAAAAATCTCACCCCCTCCCCATGAACAAAACAAAATTCCAAGCCCTGGGGAAATCCAAATGAGAAGTCCCTGACTGTTAGGAGTTTGTGGTCAAAAGAGATTTGCAAATACTGTTTTGCTATAGTACTGGAGAAATGAAAGTTTAAACCAGGAAAGATGTGTGTGTGGAAGGAGGCACTGAAGATGTATGGAAGCAAAGTGGCTTGGTCATGACCATCTCGGATTGACAGGGAAAGTTTCAGGCAAATTCCGAGGCTTTAACTCATGGGCACAAGGCTGCAGCCGTAAGTGTGGAAAGGACTGTTGGTCTCATGTCTTTTCACAAACAGATGACAATGATCAGAAATGTGCTGTTTTAAATGGGGGAAACAACAACTCAAAATATATTTTGTTTGATTCATCACAGAATACATGTTTTTGCTTATTTTATGCCATTTGAGGTAAGTGTTACAGTGAAATTTCTGCAATCTAAAAAGTTACATTATTGAACCACATGTGTCTTACTTCAAAGGATATGTACATTCCATACAGATAAAACCCAGCAAACTGGGCTGCTCAAGTGGGACTGATCTACAGAAAAGTGGCTAGAACCACGATGGTAAAATATAAATTTAGGAACATAAGAGACCCTATGCCTCAGAATGTGCCAGTTCCTACAGTTGAATTTGCTTGATATACCCTTAGTGAATCATATGTGATGGAAGATGCCCCAACAAGAGTTACTAAGTTTCCATGTCTCTGCATTTTTGGAACAGACAGTTGTTAAATTTTGCCCAGAGTGCTTTAAGGCAGTTGTACTAACTTCTGGTAATAGTGTCCAAGTTTTCTTCTTGAGAATCACTGTTCCCATCCTCAATCCAAGCAATTAGGTGGTGGCGACATCACCCCTGACTCCTGAGTCCAGGGGCTGGAATATGACTCAATTACAGCCTTTCAGGGCATTGCTACAGTGAGCCACTGAGTGGAGGAGGTGCGTGGGATCTTTACAGGGACAGGGGGACCGGTCTTAAAATAATTAGCCCAAGCTGGGCGTGGTGGCAGGCGCCTGTACTCTCAGCTACTTAGGAGGCTGAGGTGGGAGAATCACTTAAACCCAGGAGGGGGAGGTTGCAGTGAGTTGAGATCACACCATTGTACTCCAGCCTGGCGACAGAGTGAGACTCCATCTCAAAAAATAATAATAATAATAACAACTAACCCAAGAGCACACAGGTGGTAAGTGGTAGAAGGAAGGAGCAGGAGTGAAACATTTAGGAGGCTCTAGACTACTGACCTTCTTGAATGCCAGACAAAAGCATCTGAAACTAGTTTTTAGACAACAGGAAGCCAGGAAGCTAGTTTTTGAAAAGTGGCATGAGAAAATTGGTGTTTTGGAAGATTAATCCAGCAGCTGTGTGTAGGATGGAACAGAGCTAGGAGAGAATGCAGGGAGAGACCCTTTAATCCTTTTGATACACTGTAATTTATTAGAGTTGAATTTACATCCTCATCCAAATGCAGGAGAAACATATCAGAATTTTTTTTCCATACGTTATTGGGGTACAGGTGGTATTTGGTTAATGAGTAAGTTCTTTTTTTTTCTGAGACGGAGTCTCGCTCTGTCCCCCAGGCTGGAGTGCAGTGGCTGGATCTCAGCTCACTGCAAGCTCCGCCTACCAGGTTCACGCCATTCTCCTGCCTCAGCCTCCTGTAGCTGGGATTACAGGCGCCCGCCACCACGCCCAGCTAATTTTTTGTATTTTTAGTAGAGATGGGGTTTCACCGTGTTAGCCAGGATGGTCTTGATCTCCTGACCTCGTGATCCGCCCGCCTCGGCCTCCCAAAGTGCTGGGATTACAGGCATGAGCCACCACGCCCGGCCATGAGTAAGTTCTTTAGTGGTGGTTTGTGAGATTTTGGTGCACCCATCACCCGAGGAGAATACAGTGCACCATATTGGTTGTCTTTTATCCCTTGCCCCCTCCCACTCTTCCCTCAAGTCCCCAAAGTTCACTGTATCATTCTTATGCCTTTGCATCCTCATAGCTTAGCTCCTACACATCAGTGAGAACACACGATGTTTGGTTTTCCATTCCTATCAGAAAATATTAAATCTTCTTTTGCTACCTTCTTGTTTTTGAGACAGGGTCTTGCTCTGTCTCCGAGGCTGGAGTGCAAAGTGTAGTGGCATGATCACAGCTCACTGCAGCGTCGTCGTCCTGAGGTTCAAGCAGTCCCTCCACCTCAGCCTCTTGAGTGTCTGGGACTACAGATGTACCCCACCACGCCTGGCCAATTTTTTTATTTTTATTTTTTGTAGAGACAGGAGTCTCACTACATTACCTAGGCAGGTCTCGAACTCCTGGGCTCAGGGAATCCACCTGCCTTGGCCTCTAAAGTACTGGGATTACATGTGTGGGCCACCATGCCTAGTCTTGTTACCTTCTTAAGCATTCATTATTATACAGGAGTCAATTGCCTTGTAGATTTTGCATACATACATAAAATTATCTGGAAAGTTTTATTCCAAAATGTCAACAGAGGGACAGAAGCTTAAGTAAAATATTACCTTTGTGCTGATTTGATTTCTGTTTGTCAGAGACACAGCATTCCAGTGCGTGTATTTAAGCATGAATCTTAAGTTCCTCTCTTCACTTATGCAATACCCTTCCTCACACAGGAGATTAAATCTCTCTTGTCTACTTGCAGTTTACTTTGAATTGTTTACTCACTAGAAGCATGAGCAGTGTTTGGTTTCCCACAAACAGAATGGCAAAGTGTGGGTGATTCTTAGTATGGTGTATTGCTAAACACACTTAGAATGCCCTGGGTGGGGAGTGGTAGGTGCAGAGCAGAGAGGAGGGATGGGATGGGGTGAAAAAGTGTGGCTGTGCAGAGGGCACTTTTATTCTACATATCCTCCTGTAGCCTCGGGATCCTCACTCACAACCTTGCAGGTGTTCCTGGTGCCTTGATCATGGGTGCTCCCACACCCAGCACCATTTCCAGCTGCTTTTTTAGTGAATGCCTTCATACATAGCAATTTATTTCTTGCTTCAGATTTTGAGATAAAATCTGTTCCAAAAGATGAACTTCATATATTAAAACCTGAAACCCAAGTAATGAAATTCAGCTAGAGAAGTTTTTTGAGGGATGTTTGCTTTGGTTATTGCTGTTGCAAGAAAAGGACAAATGGAAAAACAATCTAGTGTTATCAGTGACCATAGCTAGCGTTCAGTATCTTTCTACTCCCAGAATGGAGAACACAGGCTCAGACTGGTAACTCAGGAATCTACAAAATGATCAATCACTTTAAAAATTCATTTAACAAATTGTCATTTAGAACTTATTCTGAGCTAAGACAAGAAGGTGGACTTGGATCCAAGTGAGTCACCTGAGAAACTATTAGAACTAATAAGTGAATATAGCTTGGTGGGGAGTTATCAAACACCAAGAGCTTTCTTATATGACAACAATATCCAACTGGGTGCGGGGGGAAGGTCCCATTTAAATCAACAAGTAAAACTATAAAGTAACTAGAAATAAATTCAATAAAACTGTGTGAGAGCATTATTGCAAATACTACAAAGCTTTAGTGAAAAACATAAAAAGAAATCTGACGGAATAGCAAGCTATACCATGTTAATGGATAAAATGTCTCAATATTGTAAAGATAGTCATGATTCCTTAATTAATCTACAGATTCAATGCTAACTCAACCAAATTAACAAGACTTTCTTGGAACATAAAACTGATTGCAAAATTCATATGGGAGAGTAAATTCAAGATCACTTTGAGAAAGAATAACAAGGATTTGTCTTACAATATAGCAAGATATGATAAAACAACAGTAGTTAAAACACTGAATATTGGTACAAGAAAAGTGAAAAAAAGATTAATGGAACAGAACAAAAATGTAAGACACAGACTCATGTATGTGTTTGGAATATGATAAATGATAGACACATTTAAATGGTCAAAAGACAGTTCAAATGGTGTTGGGAGGATACACACACACACACACACATACACAATGCAATTTATATTTCTGTCTCACCCTATACACAAAAGTAAGCTTTGGATAGATTAAAGATCTAATTGTAAAACATTAACTTTCAAATTATTATTATTATTATTTTTTTTTTTAATTTATTTTTTTATTGATAATTCTTGGGTGTTTCTCACAGAGGGGGATTTGGCAGGGTCATGGGACAATAGTGGAGGGAAGGTCAGCAGATAAACCAGTGAACAAAGGTCTCTGGTTTTCCTAGGCAGAGGACCCTGCGGCCTTCCGCAGTGTTTGTGTCCCTGATTACTTGAGATTAGGGATTGGTGATGACTCTTAACGAGCATGCTGCCTTCAAGCATCTGTTTAACAAAGCACATCTTGCACCGCCCTTAATCCATTTAACCCTGAGTGGACACAGCACATGTTTCAGGGAGCACAGGGTTGGGGGTAAGGTCACAGATCAACAGGATTCCCAAGGCAGAGGAATTTTTCTTAGTGCAGAACAAAATGAAAAGTCTCCCATGTCTACTTCTTTCTACACAGACACGGCAACCATCCGATTTCTCAATCTTTTCCCCACCTTTCCCGCCTTTCTATTCCACAAAGCCGCCATTGTCATCCTGGCCCGTTCTCAATGAGCTGTTGGGCACACCTCCCAGACGGGGTGGTGGCCAGGCAGAGGGGCTCCTCACTTCCCAGTAGGGGCGGCCGGGCAGAGGCGCCCCTCACCTCCCGGACGGGGCGGCTGGCCGGGCAGGGGGGCTGACCCCCCCCACCTCCCTCCCGGAGGGGGCGGCTGGCCGGGCGGGGGGCTGACCCCCCTACCTCCCTCCCGGACGGGGCGGCTGGCTGGTCAGAGGGGCTCCTCACTTCCCAGTAGGGGCGGCCGGGCAGAGGCGCCCCTCACCTCCCGGACGGGGCGGCTGGCCGGGCGGGGGGGCTGACCCCCCCCACCTCCCTCCCGGACGGGGCGGCTGGCCGGGCGGGGGGCTGACCCCCCCACCTCCCTCCCGGACGGGGCGGCTGGCCAGGCGGGGGGCCGACACCCCCACCTCCCTCCCGGACGGGGCGGCTGGCCGGGCGGGGGGCCGACCCCCCCACCTCCCTCCCGGATGGGGCGGCTGGCCGGGCAGAGGGGCTCCTCACTTCCCAGTAGGGGCGGCCGGGCAGAGGCGCCCCTCACCTCCCGGACGGGGCGGCTGGCCGGGCGGGGGGCTGACCCCCCCACCTCCCTCCCGGACGGCACGGCTGGCCGGGCGGGGGGGCTGACCCCCCACCTCCCTCCCGGATGGGGCGGCTGGCCGGGCGGGGGGCTGACCCCCCCCACCTCCCTCCCGGACGGGGTGGCTGCCGGGCGGAGACGCTCCTCACTTCCCAGATGGGGTGGCTGCCGGGCGGAGAGGCTCCTCACTTCTCAGACAGGGCAGCTGCCGGGCGGAGGGGCTCCTCACTTCTCAGACGGGGCGGTTGCCAGGCAGAGGGTCTCCTCACTTCTCAGACGGGGCGGCCGGGCAGAGACGCTCCTCACCTCCCAGACGGGGTCTCGGCCGGGCAGAGGCGCTCCTCACATCCCAGATGGGGCGGCGGGGCAGAGGCGCTCCCCACATCTCAGACGATGGGCGGCCGGGCAGAGAGGCTCCTCACTTCCTAAATGTGATGGCGGCTGGGAAGAGGCGCTCCTCACTTCCTAGATGGGATGGCGGCCGGGCGGAGATGCTCCTCACTTTCCAGACTGGGCAGCCAGGCAGAGGGGCTCCTCACATCCCAGACAATGGGCGGCCAGGCAGAGACACTCCTCACTTCCCAGACGGGGTGGCGGCCGGGCAGAGGCTGCAATCTCGGCACTTTGGGAGGCCAAGGCAGGCGGCTGGGAGGTGGAGGTTGTAGCGAGCCGAGATCACGCCACTGCACTCCAGCCTGGGCACCATTGAGCACTGAGTGAACGAGACTCCGTCTGCAATCCCGGCACCTCGGGAGGCCGAGGTTGGCGGATCACTCGCGGTTAGGGGCTGGAGACCGGCCCGGTCAACACAGCGAAACCCCGTCTCCACCAAAACCAGTCAGGCGTGGCGGCGCGTGCCTGCAATTGCAGGCATTCGGCAGACTGAGGCAGGAGAATCAGGCAGGGAGGTTGCAGTGAGCCGAGATGGCAGCAGTACAGTCCAGCTTTGGCTCCGCATGAGAGGGAGACCGTGGGGAGAGGGAAAGGAGAGGGAGAGGGAGAGGGAGAGGGAGAGGGAGAGGGAGGGGAGAGGGAAAGGAGAGGGAGAGGGAGAGGGAGAGGGAGAGGGAGAGGGAGGAGAGGGAGAGGGAGAGGGAGAGGGAGAGGGAGAGGGAGAGAGCTAACTTTCAAATTATTAAGAGAGAATACAAGAGAATCTCTTAACAATTTGGTAAAAGGAAGAGCTTTCTTTTTTTTTTTGAGATGGAGTTTCGCTCTTGTCGCCCAAGCTGGAGTGCAATGGCACAATCTCAGCTCACTGAAACCTCTGTCTCCTGGGCTCAAGTAATTCTCCTGCCTCAGCCTCCCAAGTAGCTGGGATTACAGGCACCTGTCACCACACCGAACTAATTTTTGTATTTTTAGTAGAGACGGGGTTTCAGCATGTTGGCCAGGCTGGTCTGGAACCCTTTACCTCAGATGATCTGCCCACCTCAGCCTCCCAAAGTGCTGGGATTACAGGCGTGAGCCACTATGCCCAGCCTGGAAGAGCATTTTTTTTTTTTTTTTTTTTTTTGAGATGGAGTCTCGCTCTGTCGCCCAGGCTGGAGTGCAGTGGTGCAATCTCGGCTCACTGCAAGCTCCACCTCCCGGCTTCATGCCATTCTCCTGCCTCAGCCTCCCGAGTAGCTGGGACTACAGGCACCCACCACCACGCCTGGCTAATTTTTTTGGATTCTTGGTACAGACGGGGTTTCACCGTGTTGGCCAGGATGGTCTTGATCTCCTGACCTTGTGATCTGCCCACCTCGGCCTCCCAAAGTGCTGAGATTACAGGCGTGAGCTACCGCGCCCGGCCAGGAAGAGCTTTCTTAAGGCAAAAAAAAAAAAAAAAAGAATCAAAAGGCATAGAATAAAAATCTGATAAACCCAACCAGATACAAATTTAAATTATCTGCAGCAAGACAAGAGAAGTTCTAAAGCAGGGAATAGACTTGGATAAATTAATTTATATTAATTATTAATCTTTGCTATATAACAAAGGTGAGTATCCAAATTTTAAAGCATTTTTTCAAGTAAGTTAAAATATAATAAAAATAATTCAATATAAGTGTAAACAAAGACTAAACAGAAAATTTCTAGAAGAAATAAAAATAGGCAATGAAATTATTGTCTGAAAATGGGCCAGGAGCTTTGGAAGGTCCAGGAATTGCTTGAGGCCAGGAGTTTGAGATTAGCCCAGCCTTGGCAGCATAGTGAGACACTGTCTCTACAAAAAATAATAATAATAATAATTAGCCAGATGCAGTGGCACAGACCTGTAATCTAGCTACTCAGGAGGCTGAGGTGGGAGGATCACTTGAGCCCAGGAGTTTGAGACCAGCCTAGGCAATACACAAGATCCTGTCTCTACAAAAAAATTTAAAAATTAGCCAAGTATGGTGGCATGCACCTGTAGTCAGGCTAATTGGGAGGCTGAGGTGGGCAGATCCCTTGAGCTCAAGAGTTTGAGACTGCAGTGACCTATGATTGCACTACTGCACTCCAGAGCAAGACCCCATCTTTTAAAAACAAAAAAATTGAAAAAGGTACTTAACCCACTAGAAATAAGATAAATGCAAATTAAAATACTAATGAGTTAACCGATCGGCAAATTTTTAAAGCTTGTTCATATCAAATATTGGCAAGATTGCAGAGACATAGACCCTCATACATTGTAGGAATATAAATTGATATGATTACACTGTAGAGGAATTTGACCGATGTATTTTCCCTAAGCAAACTCTTACATGTGGGTACAAGGAGACATGCATAAGGACACTGGTTGCAGCATTGTTTGTAATAACAAAGATTGGAAATGACATAAGCATTCATCAATGGGGTATGGGTAAATATGATACAACACATTCATGTAATAGAATATTTTACAGAAGTTACACGATATAAACTCAAAAATATTATTTTATTTTATTTTATTTTTTTGAGACAAGGTGTTACTCTGTCACCCAGGCTAGAGTGCAGTGGCACAATCAAAGATCACTGCAGCCTCGACCTACCGGGGCTCAAGTGATCCTCCCATCTCAGCCTCCTGAGTAGCTGGGACCACAAACATGTGCCACTGCCTGGCTAGTTCTTAAACTTTTTGTACAGATATGGTATCACTACGTTGCCCAGGCTGGTCTCCAGCTTTTGACCCCAAATGACCCTCCCACCTCAGCCTCCCAGAGTTCTGGGATTACAGGTATGAGCCACTATTCTCAGCCAAAACATTTTTAAATGACCAAATAAGTTGCAGATTAATATCAGAGGTAGAAAAAAAATCCAGTCTGTATATTTTCTATAACTACATGTAATTCCTTTGTAAATGGATACATGTCAACTTTGTCTTGCAACCAAGATAGAGTAACAGGAACAAGATTTTCCCTTCTGCCTGAAACAATACAACAAAAAACCCAGACAAAATATATAAAACAACAGGTTTTAAGACAGCACACCAGGTGAAGAAGGATGGTGCTCTCTGGGAGCTGGAATACAAACAAGGGGATTCCTATGATTGCACTCAGCTTACTGCCTTGAGAGATTTTTTTTTTTTTTTTTTGAGACGGAGTCTTGCCCAGGCTGTAGTGCAGTGGTGTAATTTTGGCTCACTGCAACCTCCACCTCCTAGGTTCAAGTGATTCTCTCGCCTCAGCCTCTCGAGTAGCTGGGACTACAGGCATGCACCACCATGCCTGGCTAATTTTTATATTTTTAGTGGAGACAGGGTTTCTCTATGTTGGCCAGGCTGGTCTCAAACTCCTGACCTCAGGTGATATGTCCATCTTGGCCTCCTAAAGTGCTGAAATTACAGGTGTGAGCCACTGCGCCCGGCCTTCCTTGAGAGATTTCTAAGTTGCAGCGCAGAGAAAGGACACTCAGACAGAGACTGCTGGACTCCCTGGTTTGAGGAGCTAGAACTGAGAGTCTGAGGAAATCAAAACATCTAGAAGTCTCAGGACAGAATACTGTAGGGTAAAGACTTCCCAGAGAGATCCTAAGAGATCTATAGAATGTCCCCCTTGAGGACCCAGCAGAACACTTATTGATCAGCGCATGCATCCTGGAAATTATCCAAGGCTGGGGAAAGAACCATGTGGGAACTTCAGAGGGAACCGTGCCTGGTGCTCACTCAGGGCTAGTAATAGTGCCTGTTCGTGCCAACCAGACTGGAAAACAACCTTATAATTCATGAGCATTTGGTAGAGTACACAAAAGGGTCTTGCCTGAATAGTGGAGAATAATTAGTCCTAGACTGAGCACACCCTGCCCCAGTTCCACCTAACAAACCTTAAAAGTGAGACCTGGAAGTTTCAAATTCTTTCCAACCAACTTAACTGCTCAAGGACAAAGCTAAAGAGGAGGTATAGGAATACAAAAATATCCAGTATCCAATGAAGTGAATTCATAACATCTGGAATACAATGATTACCAGACTTGCAGGAAGCAGAAAAACATAGCTTACAATAAGGAGAAAAACTGGTCAATTGAAACAGACCCAGAATGGACACAGATGATACAGTTAGTAAGAAGGACATTAAAACTTTTATTGTAACTGTAGTCCATGGGTTCAACAAGCTAAGTAGAGACACACAAAACATAAAAAGGTCCAAACTACAACTTTTAGAAATTAAAACTATAATACCTGAGAGTAAAGATACTCTGGATGGAATTAATGGCAGATAAGATATTGCAGAAGAAAATATTAGTGACTTGGAGACATAGAAATTGAAGGGAAAAGTAACTTTAGAAAATGAAAAGGGCTAGGAGTAACTTCAAATCTCTTAATATACATGTAATTGGAATCCCAGAAATGTAAAGAGGAAGGACAAAAATGTTTGAAGAAATAATGGCCAAAAATTTTTTAAATTTGAGGAAAACCTTAAACTCACAGACCAGAAGCTCAATGAACACCAAGCACAAGACATATGAAAAAAAAATCACCAAAACCCAACATAATCATATTGCTCAAAGCCATGGATAAGATAAAATTTTAACAGACTAAGCCAGGTATGGTGGCATGTGCCTGTAGTCCCAGTTACTCTGGAGGCTGTGACTGTAGGATGGCTTGAGCCCAAGAGTTTCAGGCCAGCCTGAGCAACATAAGATCCCATCCAACTCTGAAAAAAAAAAAAAAAAAAAAAAAAGCAACCACAGGAAGAAAAAAAAAAAGACATATTACAGAGGCATAAAAACAAGGATGACAGCAGATTTTTCATCAGAAACCATGTAAGGCAGGAGGCAGTGGAGCTATTTTTTTAAAGAATTGACAGAAAAATATGTCTGGGATTACAGGTATGACCCACCATGCCCAGCTTAAAAAATATATTTTAAATCAAAATAGTAACAATGTATTTAGGGCTTATGATATATGTAGAGATAAAACTAATGAAAACAATTGTTCAAAAGCCTAGAAGGGAGATATGGAAGCTAAGGATTTTTATGCATGAATTGTTGTAATATCACTTAAAAATACACTCTGACATGTTAAAGATGTATATGATAAACGCTAAAGTAAACACTAAAATAGCACAAGCTTATATGTAACAAACCTGCACGTTGTGCACATGTACCCTAGAACTTAAAGTATGATAATAATAAAAAAGTAAATAAAAATAAAAAATAAAATAAAATAAAAATAAAAATGAATGGTGTATCTTTAGAATGGAATACTACTTACCAATAAAAGGAACAAACTATTGATACACATAACAACACAAATGAATCTCAAAATAGTTATGCTGAGTGAAAGAGGCCAGAAAAAAACAAAAGCATGCGTATTGTATGACTCCACTGATAATAAATCTATTGCAACACAAACTAATTTATAATAACAGAAAGCTGATTAATGGGTGCCCAGGATTGAGGGTGGGGCGGGAAGGATGGATTACAAAGGCAGATGAGTAAACTTTGGGGGCTAACGGACATGTTCATTCTTTTGCTCATGATGATAGTTTCATGGGCCTATATGTATGTCAAAACTGATCAAGTTGTGCACTTGACATATGTGCAGTTGATTCTATGGCAATTATACCCCAATAAAGCTACTTTAAATAAATAGCCAGGCACTGATGGCACAAACCTGTGGTCCCAGATACTGGGGAGGCTGAGTCGAGAAGATCACTTGAGGCCAGGAGTTCAAGGCTGCAGTGCACTATGATGGCACCTGTGAATAGCCACTGCATTAAGCCTAGGCAACATAGCTAAACCCCATTTCTACAACAAACAAACAGATACATGCCAAGCTCATAACAATAGCTAATAATGGCTATTTCTGGGCAATTAGGAAAGGACTAGGGTTGGGAGAAAGTAATGCTTAAAGGGGACTTTAGCTTTGTCTGTAATGTTCTTTCATTTAAAATAAATAACTTATTTATGTATTTTTATGTAATTAAAAAATTTTAATAGCAAATTTAGAAATGATTTTTTACAAAGGCACCTGCTTAGCAAAATAAGTCTTGACCTTCCCTGTCCCCCAACAAACCATGTTTCACACAGTAATCTGTTCCAAACATTTAGTCACCTAAAAAATTTCCCTTCAGTCTTCTTATTTTCCAGACTATGAATTGTTCAAATAAAAACAAAAGTAATATTAATTTACACTTGCTTCCTTTAAAAAAAATGAAAGTAAAATGGATTTTTCCTCCATTTTACAGAGTTGTGGTTAGCATATGTGAAGTGACTTCAGACTTTTTCCTATCTCAACTTACACCTTTAGCACTTTATGCCTTTGTGTCACACTATTTTAATCCTTTTCAAGACGCAAATAGTCTTATGCTATTAAGTTTTATCCAATCAGGTTTTCTCTAGAAGGCATGGGAGCGTTATGAAGGAAGGAAATAATGAAAGCAACAAGGAAATGGAAGTACACTGAGAGGCAGGTACGGGCACCAAAGGCAAACAGCAGCTCAGAGGACCTGCACATCAGCAACCTCAAACCAGCACTGCTGTTGTGTTATTAATAGCTGTAACACAGCAATTTTAGTGGCAGAAACGCCTACTTAAAATAAGCAAGTTATACCTGGTACCTTTAGCACAGAGATAAATTTAGCTCAATTGTATTTGGAATATAATTTATCATAGGTTAACAAATTAATTTACGTTTCTCTTGTGATCATTAAGAATTTGCATTCAATTTTTAATTTTTTAATTTTACTTATTGTTTTTTTGAGATGGAGTCTCACTCTGTCGCCCAGGCTGGAGTGCAGTGGCACCATCTTGGCTCACTGCAGCCTCCACCCCCCGGGGTTCAAGTGATTCTCCTGCCTCAGCCTCCCAAGTAGCTGGGATTACAGGTGCCCGCCACCACATCTGGGTAATTTTTGTATTTTTAGTAGAGATGGTGTTTCGCCGTGTTGGCCAGGCTGGTGTCGAACTCCTGACCTGAGGTGATCTGCCCGCCTCGGCCTCCCAAAGTGCTGGGATTACAAGCGTGAGCCATTGCACCTGGCCCTGACCCTGAATTTTAGAACTGCCTATCACCGGTATTTCAATAGAAGCTTTCTCAGTTTCAAGGGTATCTGTTTTCTTGAGAAGGCAGGGATTGTGACTTTAGTTGTTTATTTATTTATTTATTTTTGAGATGGAGTCTCGCTCTGGCAGCCAGGCTGGAGTGCAGTGGCATGATCTGGGCTCACTGCAACCTCCGCCTCCCAGGTTCAAGCGATTCTCCTGCCTCAGTCTCCCAAGTAGCTGGGATTACAGACATGCGCCAGCACACCCAGCTGATTTTTGTATTTTTAGTAGAGACAGGGTTTCACCATGTTGGCCAGGCTGGTCTCGAACTCCTGACCTCAGGTGATCCTCCCGCCTTGGCCTCTCAAAGTGCTGGGATTACAGGTGTGAGCCACCGCGCCCGACTGACTTTAGTTGTTTAAACGGGCAACTTCCAATAATGCTGAGTTTTCCTCAGATTTTTTTTTTACTTCAATCAGTCAGAGACTTGTAGCTCTGGAAAGAATAATTTTTATCCCTCTCTCCTCATCCCCTCTCCACATCTAGTGATCTAATCAATTACAAACACTGTAGTCTTTTTTAAAAAATAGAGTTTGGGATTGAGGATTATGGATCTAAATTTTGAATATAAAAAGAAAATAATCCAAAAAAGAAGAATTTTAAGTACACAAGATGATCATTTTAGCTGAAGTATAAATACTTCAGAGATAAATAAGGAAAAAGTGTATCTAAAACTTCAGTAGGTGGTTGAAGTTGTAGAGTGGTTGAATCATGCTGCATTAATGAAGATTGCAAAATATATCAATTCAACAATAAAATAGTTATTTTGCTCTCAAATACTTAAAACTTTATAATGGCCAGCACGCAGGGAGCTTGGAAGTCATCACTCTGTCCTAACAAGTACAAAGCTCCACACACTGAAAAATCTAACACTCTTCTTACATTTGTCAGAGAAGTAAGGTCATAGGGCAAATTCCTACCCCCAGAATTGGAGACACAGACAGGTGGATATAGAGACCCACAACTGATGGGAGTAGAAACCTCCCCAGGAACCAGCTCTGGGGTAGGAAAACCTGAACTGTAACTGAAGAATTGCTGAGTTGCTAGCAATTCTCTGAGCAATGAAAACTTCAGGCTCCCTCACCACACTTTTGTATTCACCTTAGAAGCTCCCCCAGGTTCACACAGTGACTCCTGGAGAAAAATCCCCTTGTGTTTGTAGAAGAGGGAGGGGAAAGAACCATTTTGAAATATACCAGAGCATTCTATTCTTCTTAACAAGGCCTGATCTTAGAAGAAACTATTTTATGAGAAATTAACTGGCCTGGAGGAAGGAAAATACCCAACTCCAACCCACTCTAACCATCAGATCCCACCTAAAGGGGGGTGGGTGGGACTGAGAAACACTTGTGAAGTTCACAGTTCAGAGTCATAGGCTGACAAAAGACTGAGATGTAACCATAGCACTAGGGAAAGCTTCTCTCCCCCGACACCTTAACAGCACATTGCTGAAGACCTATGAATATCAGTTCCTTTTACCCAGTATATCATGTCCAGCAGGTTAAGAAAAAATTATAAGACATACTAAAAGGCAAAAAGTTACAGTTTGCTTTTTGTTTTCTGTTTTTGTTTTTTTTTTAATGGAGTCTCACTCTGTCGTGAGGCTGGAGTGCAGTGGCACGATCTTGGCTCACTGCAACCTCTGCCTCCCGGGTTCAAGCGATTCTCCTGCCTCAGCCTCCCGAGTAGCTGGGACTACAGACATGCGCCACCATGCCCAGCTAATTTTTGTATTTTTAGTAGAGACGGGGTTTCACCATGTTGGCCAGGATGGTCTCGATTTCTTGACCTTATGATCTGCCCACCTCGGCCTCCCAAAGTGCTGGGATTACAGGCGTGAGCCACCACGCTCAGCCAAAAAAATACAGTTTGAAGAGACCGGGCAAGCATCAGAATCAGACTCATATATATATGGCAGGAATGTTGGAATTATCAGAATGGGAATTTAAAATAACTATTATTAATTTGTTAAGGGCTGGGCTGGGCGTGGTGGCTCACGCCTGTAATCCCAGCACTTTGGGAGGCCAAGATGGGCAGATAGCTTGAGGTCAGGAGTTTGAGACCAGCCTGGCCGACATGGCAAAAACCCATCTCTACTAAAAATATAAAAATTAGCTGGGTGTGGTGGCATGCCCCTGTAATCCCAACTACTCGGGGGGCTGAGGCAGGAGAATGGCGTGAACCCAGGAGGTGGAGGTTGCAGTGAACCGAGATCATGCCACTGTACTCCAGCCTGGGTGACAGAGCAAGACTCTGTCTCAAAATAAATAAATAAATAAATAAACAAAATATATAACATATATATATATAAAATATATATATGTTAAGGGCTGTAATGGATAGAGTAGGTAGCATGAAAGAGCAAATGGGCAATGTAAACAGAGAGATGGAAATTCTAAGAAAAAATCAAAAAAGAAATGCTACAGATAAAAATACTGTAACAGAAATGAAGGAATGTCTTTCATGGACTCATTAGTAGACTGGACATGGCTGAGGAAAAAATCTCCTCTGAGCTTGAGGATATGTTAATAGAAACTTCCAAGATGGAAAAGCAAAGAGAAAGAGAAAAAAGATTGGAAAAAACTGGAATGAATATCTAAGAACTGTAAGACAACTACTAAAGGTTTAACATACCCATAATGAGAATATCAGAAGGAAAAGACAGGAAGGAACAGAAAAACTATTAGAATAATGACTGTGTATTTCCCCCCATATTAATAATGTCAGACACCAAACCACGTATCCAGGAAGCTCAGAATATGCAAAGCAGGATAAATGCCAAAAAATTACATGTAGGCATATCATGTTCAAACTGTAGGAAATCAAATACAGAGAAAAAAGTTCGAAAAAAGACAGAGAGAAAAAACACCTTATTTACAGAGGACCAAAAGTAAGAATGACACCCAACTTCTCTTCAGAAATCATGTAAGCAAGATGAAAGTGAAGTGAAACTTTTTAAAGTGTTATTGAAAGAGAAAAAATGGCACCAATCTGAAATTCTATATCCTGCAAAATTATCCTGCACAAATGAAGGAGAGATAAAAAGCTTCTCGGATAAACAAAAATTAAGAGAATTTCTTGCCAGTAGTCACGCTTGGAAGAAATGCTAAAAGAAGTTCTTTAAAGGAAAAGAAAATGACATAGGTCAGAAACTCAGATTACATAAAGAAAGGAAGATCTTTCGAAAAAAGTGAAAGTAGGCCGGGCATGGTGGCTCACTCCCATAATCCCAGCACTTTGGGAGGACAAGGCAGCTGGATCACCTTTGGTCAGGAGTTCAAAACCAGACTGACCAACATGGTGAAACCCCGTCTCTACTAAAAATACAAAAATTAGCTGGGCATGGTGGTGCATGCCTGTAATCCCAGTCACTTGGGAGGCTGAAGAAGGAGAATCGCTCGAACCTCAGAGGCAGAGGTGGTAGTGAGCCAAGATCGCACCATTGCACTCCAGCCTGGGTAAGAGTGAGACTCTGTCTCAAAAAAAAAAAAAAAAAAAGGTGCAGGTAAAATAAAAACATTCTTTTTTTTTTCTTTCTTTCTTTTTAGAGACAGGGGCTCAATCTGTTACTTAGGCTGGAATGCAGTGGCACAGTCATATCTCACTGTAGCCCTGACCTCCTGGACTCAAAAAATCCTACTGCCTCAGCCTCCCAAGTAGCTGGGACTACAGGCATGCAACACTAATCTCAGCTAATTTTTAAATTTTTTGTAGAAACAGGGTCTTGCAATGTTGCCCAGGCTGGTTATTTTTTTTTATCTTTTTTTTTTTTTTTTTTGAGACCAAGTCTCACTCTGTTGCCCAGGCTGGAGTGCAGTGGCATGATCTCAGCAAATTTCAACCTCCACCTCCTGGGTTCAAGCGATTCTCCTGCCTCAGCCTCCCAAGTAGCTGGTATTACAGGCATGAGCCACCACACCTGGCTAATATTTGTATTTTTAGTAGAGATGGGGTTTCACCATGTTGGCCAGGCTGGTCTCAAATTCCTAACCTCAGGTGATTCACCCACCTTGGCCTCCCAAAGTGCTGGGATTACAGGCGTGAGCCACTGCGCCTGGCCTGGTTATTTTTCTTATTGTTAATTTAACTAACAATAACAGTTTGTTCAAAATAATAACACCACAATGTACTCAATTATGTATGCTTATATACATATATATTTACGTATGCTTATGTATCTGTGAAATGAATTACAATAATGATTTAAGAAATAGGAGGGAAGAATAAGGATTATTTTGTTATTATAGGTACCTGCACTGCCTGTGTAATGGTATAATGCTGCTTGAAAGTGGATTTGTATTAGCTGTAAATGTATATTGCAAACTGTAGGACAACAACTAAAGAAAAAGTAAGTTTTAAAAAAGTAGTATAACAGATATACTAAGAAAGAAGAGAAAATGGAATTATATGAAATACTTCATTAAAATCACAAAAAGCAGAAAAACTGTAGAAGACAAAAATAGGAACAAAGAATAAAGGCAATGAATAGAAAACAGTAACAAATATGGTAGATACCAATTATATCAATAATCACTCTAAACATCAATGATCTAAATACACCAATTAAAAGAGATTGTTAGAGTGGATCAAAAAAAGACCCAACTAGATGTTGTTCACAAGAGACCCACTTTAAATATAAAGGCACATATACATTAAATGTAAAAATTAGAGAGATACATACCATGATAACACTAATCAAAAGAAAGTGAAAATAGCTATATTAATATTGAAAGAGCAGACTTCAGAGCAAGGAAGGTTATCAGAGCTAAAGAGGGGTATTACATAATAATAAAGGGGTCAATTATTCAAGAAGACATAACAATCCTTAATGTGTATGCACCTAACAACAAAGCATCAAAATGCACAAGGCAAAAACAGACAGAAGTGCAAGGAGAACTAAATGAATCTACTATTGTGGTTGGAAATAGCTCGAGCCCAGGAGTTTGAGACCAGCCTGGGCAACGTGGCAAGACTTTGTCTCTACTAAAAATAAAAAAATTAGCCAGGCATGGTGATGCATACCTGTAATTACTTGGGAGGCTGAGGTGGGGAAGATCACTTGAGCCCAGGAGATTCATGTCACTGCACTCCAGCCTGGGAAACAGAGCAAGACCCTGTCTCAAAGAAGGAGGGAAGGAGGGAAGGAAGGAAGGGAGGAAGGGAGGAAGGGAGGGAGGGAGGGAGGGAACAGACCTAGCAGGCAGAAAATGAGTAGGAACAGAACATAGTGGAATTCAATAGCACCATCAATCAACTTGATATTATTGATATCTATTGACTACTTCATCTAACAACTGTAGAACACACACTCTTTCCAAGCTCACATGAACATTCACCAAGATAGCAAACAGACTTGGTCATAAACACACCACAACAAATTTAAAAGAATAGAAATTACACAGTATCTGCTCTTAGACCACAGTGGAATTAAACTAGAAACCAATAATAAAAAGATATCTGGAAAATCTCAAAATATTGTACTTGTAGATCAAACAACATACTTCTGAATAACACATGGATCAAGGAAGAAATCAAAAGATAAATTTTAAAAATACTTTGAACTAAATGAAAATGAAAGTACAACTTATCAAAATTTGTGGGATTCAGCAAAAGCAGTACTTAGAAGGAAATTTATAGTTTGAATGTATATATTAGAAAATAAGTAAGATTTTAAATCAATAGTCTATGCTTCCACTTTAGGAAAACAGAAAAAGGAGAACAAATTAAATCCAAAGAAAGGAGAAGAGAAGAAAGAATAAAAATTAGAGCCCAAGACAATAAAACTGGAAACAGAAAATCAATAGAAAAAAATCAACAAAACCAAAAGCTGGTTCTTTAAAAAGATCAGTAAAATCAATAAGTGTCTAGAAAAGCTAACCTAGAAAAAGAAAGAAGACATAAATTACTAATATCAGAAATGTAAGAAGGAGCTGGGCACAGTGGCTCATGCCTGTAATCCCAGCAATTCGGGAGGCCAAGGCAGGTGATTCATTTGAGGTCAGGAGTTCAAGACCAGCCTGGCTAGCATGGTGAAACCCCATCTCTACTAAAAATACAAAAATTGGCTGGGCATGGTGAAGCATGCCTATAATCCCAGCTACTCGGGAGGCTGAGGCAGGAGAATCGCTTGAACCAGGGAGGCAGAGGTTGCAGTGAGCCAAGATGGCACCACTGCACTCCAGCCTGGGCAACAGAGGGAGACTCTGTCTCAAAAAAGAAGGCTGGGCATGGTGGCTCACGCCTGTAATCCCAGCACTTTGGGAAGCCAAGGCGGGCGGATCACAAGGTCAGGAGATCGAGACCATGCTGGCTAACATGGTGAAACCCCATCTCTACTAAAAATACAAAAAATTAGCCAGGCGTGGTGGCAAGCGCCTGTAGTCCCAGCTAATCGGGAGGCTGAGGCAGGAGAATGGCATGAACCCGGGAGGCGGAGCTTGCAGTGAGCCGAGATCGCACCACTGCACTCCAGCCTGGGTAACAGAGAGCGACTCTGTCTCAAAAAAAAAAAAAAAAAAATGTAAGAAGAGACATCACAATGATCCCATGGGCATTAAAAACATAATAAAGGAATATTATGAACAACTCTATGCCCATAAATTTAATAACCTAGATGAAATGAGCCAATTCCTTTAAATAAATACTATACCAAAATTCACATAAGGAGAAACAATTTGAATAAGCCTATTATCTATTAATTAAAGAAATTGAATCAATAATTAATAACCTTCCAAAACAGAAAGCACCAGGCCCAGATGGATTTACTGGTGAGTTTTACCAAACATTTAATGAAGAAAATTATACCAATTCTCTCTTCCAGAAGATAGCAGTGGAGGGAACCTAACTCATTCTATGATGCCAGCATTAGCCTAATACCAAAACCAGACAAAAGTGTTACAAGAAGAGAAACTACAAACCAATATCTCTGTGAACATAGATTCAAAAATACTCAACAAAATATTAGCAAATTGAATTCAACAATGTATATAAAGAATTATACACCATGACTGAGCAGATTTAGCCCAGATATGCAAGACTGATTTAACACCCAAAAATCAATTAATGTAACCTATTGCAACATGAGGTTAAATATGAAACATCAGTAATCACATCAATAGATACAGAAAAAGCATTTGACAAAATCCAACAGCCTTTCATGATAAAAAAGAAAAAAATGGGGCTGGGCATGGTGGCTCATATCTGTAATCCCAGGACTTTGGGAGGCCAAGGCTGGTGGACCACCTGAGGTCAGGAGTTTGAGACCAGCCTGGCCAATATGGTGAGACCCCGTCTCTACTAAAAATACAAAATTAGCCAGGTGTGATGGCACACACCTGTAGTCCCAGCTACTCAGGAAGCTGAGACAATAGAATTGCTTGAACCCGGGAGTCAGAGGCTGCAGTGAGCCGAGATCGCACCACTGCACTAAAGCCTGGGAGAGACAGAGCGAGACTCCATCTCAAAAAAATAAATAAATAAATAAAAATTAAAAAAACAACAAACCACTCTTAGCAAGGTAGGAATAGAGCAAAACTTTCCTCAACTTCATAAAGAACATCTACGACTGGGCCCGGTGGCTCATGCCTGTAATCCCAGCACTTTGGGAGGCCAAGGCGGGCAGATCACCTGAGGTCAGGAGTTCGAGACCAGCCTGCTCAACATGAAGAAACCCCGTCTCTATTAAAAATACAAAAAAATTAGCTGGGCATGGTGGCAGGCTCCTGTAATCCCAGCTACTTGGGAGGCTGAGGCAGGAGAATGGCTTGAACACGGGAGGCAGAGGTTGCAGTGAGCCGAGATCGTGCCACTGCACTGCAGTCTGAGCGACAAGAGCAAAACTCCATCTCAAAAAAAAAAAAAAAAATCTTAATAAAACCTACAGCCAACATCCATTAATAGTGAGAAACTAGAAGTTTTCTGATACGATCAATAACAAGTCAAGGATGTCTTCTCTTGCCACTCCTTTTCAACATCATACTGGAAGTCCAAGCTAAGGCAATAAGACAAAAAAAGGAAATAAAATATATTAATTGGGAAGGAAGAATTAACACTGTCTTTGCAGATAACATGATGGTCTATGTAGAAAATCTGAAATATTCAATGACAACAGCAAAAAAACCTCCTGAAACGAATAAACAATTACAGCAAGGTTGCAGAATCCAACATTAATATACAAAAGCCAATCACTTTTTCATATGCCAGCAATGAAAAAGTAGAATTTGAAATTAAAAACACAGTACCATTTATATTAGCTCCTCTAAAAATGCAATACTTAGGTATAAATCTAACAAAATATGTACAAGATCTATGTTTCTTGGGGGGTACTATGCAAACCTACCCCTAAAGTCCAAGGAAGCTGAGAGGCTGAAGAAAGAGGCTGACAAACTCAGATTGAAACTGCCTTTGCAAAATTATGATTGAGACAGTGAAAGACGTCTAAGTTAACCGACTCCATCTTGCTTCTAACCTCCAAGCTGTCCTTCTTTATTCCTGGGTGTAGGCTGAACTAACTTTGAAAGAAACTTAGTTTATAGTTTACAGTTTAAACAAAGACCTCCTTCTTGCCTGGGGACTAGATTGCCTTTGTAGGAGTAATATTAGCCACAAGATTATAAATTATGGTTTAGGAGTCATGCAGCTGGAGGCTACAAGCTTCTGACTCTCCCTAAACTGCTCCTAAGATCAGTGTGCTTGGGATATTTTTCCAACCCTGCACTTGATGGATCAGCTGGCACCACCCTGATCAATAAACTGGCTCATCTGATCTTGTGGCCTCCCACTCAGGAACTGACTCAGTGCAAGAAGACAGCTTTGAGTCCTTATGATTTCATCTCCGACTGATCAGCACTCCTGGCTCACTGGCCTCCCCCTACCCACCAAGTCATCCTTAAAAACTCTGTTCCCCAAATGCTGGGGGAGACTGATTTGAGTAATAACAAAATTCTGGTCTCCCACACAGCCAGCTCTGTGTGAATTACTCTTTTTCTACTGCAATTCCCCTGCCTTTTTTTTGGAGACAGAGTTTTGCTTTGTCACCCAGGCTGGAGTGCAGTGGCATGATCTTGGCTCACCGCAACCTCTGCCTCCCGGGTTCAAGCAATTCTCATGCCTCAGCCTCCTGAGTAGTTGGGACTACAGGCACACACCACCAAACCTGGCTGATTTTTTGTATTTTAGTAGAGAGGGGGTTTCACCATGTTGTCCAGGCTGGTCTTGAACTCCTGAGCTCAGGCAATCTGCCCGCCTGCACCTCCCAAAGTTCTAGGATTACAGGTGTGAGCCACCGTGCCTGGCCAATTCCCCCGTCTTGATGAATCGGCTCTGTCTAGGCAGTGGGCAAGATGAACCCTTTGGGTGGTTACATGTTTCTTAGAAAGAAATAGTTAATAGGGACTTCTGAACAGAAGCCATGACTGTGTCTTGGGTGGCAGTGAGACAAGATGGTGGATCCCTGCAACCTTATCCCTTAGACCCAGCACTTACATACCAAAGAGAAGTGGTGGTTCAGAAGGGATGTGTAGGACAATTGAAGTATGATAACATCAAGGATAGTTGAAATATGATAACAATTTTTTTTTGCTTTTTTGGTTTTTATTGAGACAGAGTTTCGCTCTTGTTGCCCAGGCTGGAGTGCAATGGTGCAATCTCGGCTCACCGAACCTCCACCTCCCAGGTTCAAGCAGTTCTTCTGCCTCAGCCTCCCAAGTAGCTGGGATTACAGGCATGCACCACCATGCCCAGCTAATTTTGTATTTTTAGTAGAGACGGGGTCTCTCCATGTTGAGGCTGGTCTCGAACTCCTGACCTCAGGTGATCCACCTGCCTCGGCCCCCCAAAGTGCTGGGATTACAGGCATGAGCCACCGCACCTGGCCGATGTATGATAACAATTTTATGATAAGTACCGGCTCTTATACAAAAAACAATGGATAAACTGGAAATCTTAGACGGCTTCCTGGAACAGGGGTTAATCAGAAGCCAAAATGGCAGATGAGGATCCAAATGAAGTTGCTTTGGCCTCTGCAATCTGTATAAGGAAAACAATAAAAGAAAAGATGAAAGAACTCGAAGAAGAACTAAATAAATGAAAAGATATTTCATGCTCATGGGCAAGGAGACTCAATATCATCAAGGTGACAGTTCTTCCCACCTGGATCTATAGATTTAATGCAACTTCAGTCAAAGTCCCAGCAAGTTACTTTGTGGATATCGACAAACTGATGTTAAAATGTATGTGAAGGGTCAAAAGACCTAGTAGAGCCAATTCAATATTGAAGAAGAATAGCAAATTTGGAGGATTGACAATACCTTGCTTCAAGACTTACTATAAAGCTAGCTATAGGCTGGGCACAGTGGCTCACACCTGTAATCCCAGCACTTTGGGAGGCTGAGGCAGGCAGATCACTTGGCTCAGGAGTTCAAGACCAGCCTGGGCAACATAGCAAGACTCTGTCTCTAAAAATTTGTTTTAAAAAGGCATATTCCTTACCTCAAAAATTTACATATTCTTGGGAAGACATACACAGATAGTAAAAGAAAAATACATAGCTGGATCATGGATTGTCAAATGATTGATACAGAAAGCAAGTACTATAAAGCTTAAAAGAAATAGAAATATAAGAGAAAGATTTTTTAGAGTTGTAAAGTTCACAAGACTAACAAGAGGTAAAAGTGTTGTAAGAATGACTGGATAAAAGCCGCATGCGGTGGCTCACGCCTGTAATCCAAGCACTCTGGGAGGCCGAGGTGGATGGATCACCTGAGGTCAGGAGTTCGAGACCAGCCTGACCAACATGGAGAAACCCTTTCCCTACTAAAAATACAAAATTAGCCAGGTGTGGTGGCGCCTGCCTGTAATCCCAGCTGCTGGGGAGGCTGAGGCAGGAGAATCGCTTGAACCCGGGAGGCAGAGGTTGCAGTGAGCTGAGATAGCGCCACTGCACTCCAGCCTTGGCAACAAGAGTGAAACTCTGTCAAAAAAAAAAAAAAAAAAAGAAAAGACTGGATTGGGGCTGGGGTGAGAGAACAAAGATTATGAAGACAAGAGAATAATGTGAATGGTTATACAATGAGAAATCGAACAATAGCTAAATAACACTTGGCTGAAGTAAAGATTTCTACGGGACATAAGGTTGGAAAGAGGTGGAAAAGCCCGACTGAAGACCTTAAATGCCGGCCAGAGGCTTCCTTGTGATGCTGATGGTGGCAAATATTATGAGTTATATGATGAAAGTTTTATGACTTTTTGGAGGTATAGAACTTAATTTTGACTGGATTCCCAATATTTTATATTACTTACTGGGATTGGATTTTTTCTTTTTATTTGAGACAGGGTCTCACTCTGTCACCCAGGCTGCAATGCAGTGTCTCACTATGTTGCCCAGGCTGGTCTCAAACTCTTGGGCTCAAGTGATCCTCCTGCTTCAGCCTCCCGAGTAGCTGGCACTACAGGTGTACACCACCACAAATGAATAATTTTTTAATCTTTTGTAGAGACTAGGTCTCGCTGTGTTGCCCAGGCTGGTCTCGAATTTCTGGGCTCAAGTGATCCTCCAGCATCTGCCTCCCAAAGTGCTAGAATTACAGGCATGAGCCACAATGCCCAATCAAGAGTATACTCCGATTATGCTTTTCCTCTTTATTTTTCATTAGAGTCAGTTATGAAATGTATATCAACAGTAGCCTGTGTCTGAGTAGGTCCCTTTTTATAAATAAATAAGCCAAAACATCTTAGCCCAAATGTCTCATTTTAGGGTTTGAAAAATATTGTGGCTGGGCATGGTGACTCACACCTATGATCCCAGAACTTTGGGAGGCCAAGGCTGGAGGATCGCTTGAGCCCACGAGTTTGAGACCAGCCTGAGCAACATAGTGAGACCTCGTCTCTACAAAAATGAAATAAAATGGGCTGGGTGCGGTGGCCCATGCCTGTAATCCCAGCACTTTGGGAGGCTGAGGTGGGCGGATCACCTGAGGTCAGGAGTTTGAGACCAGCCTGGCCAATTTGGTGAAACCCGTCTCTAGTAAAAACAGAAAAAATAGCTGGGCGTGGTGGCAGGCGCCTGTAATCCCAGCTACTGGAGAGGCCGAGGCAGGGGAATCAATTGAACTTGGGAGGCGGAGGTCTCAGTGAGCCAAGATCGTGCCACTGCACTTCAGCCTGGGTGACAGAGCGAGACTCCGTCTAAAATAAAATAAAATAAAATAAATAAAACACTTAGTTTCTGCTTCAAGCCAAGATGAGATAACAGGAACTGGAGGTATTGCCTAGCCTGAAACAACCCAAAAAACAGGGAAGATCTGTGAAAATGTAGTTTTCAAGACACTCTACTTTTTTTTTTTTTTTTTTTGGCGATGGAGTCTCACTCTGTCGCCCAGGCTGGAGCGCAGTGGTACAATCTCGGCTCACTGCAACCTCCGTCTCCTGAGTTCAAGCAATTCTCCTGCCTCCTGCATCAGCGTCCTGAGTAGCTGGGACTACTGGTGCGTGCCACCATGCCCGGCTAATTTTTGTATTTTTAGTAGTGATGGGGTTTCACCATGTTGGCCAGGCTGGTCTCGGACTCCTGACCTCAGGTGATCCGCCCACCTCGGGCTCCCAAAGTGCTGGATTTACAGGCATGAGCCACCGCGCCTGGCCAGACACTCTACATTAAGCAAAGGTGAAAAATGATCCCTGAGAGACAAAAAAAAGAGAGAGATGAGCTCTCTGACCCAGGTTACTGCCTTGAGAAAGCTTCCAGGCCAAGATGCAGGAAAGAAGAACTGAGGCCAAATCTGGCCGACTTCCTGCATTGAAGAAATAGAGCTAAGAGTTTAGGGAGACCGAAGCAGTTAGTGTTCATAGGTCAGAACATCAGACAGGAAAGGGCTGCACAAAGATCCGTGGAGGGTTTCCTTCAGTACTCAGTGGAGTGCTAATCATCACAAGTGTGGAGAGAATCTACACAAGGCCAAGGACGGAACTATCAGAAAAGATTAGAGGTGCCCAGTGTACACAGAGGACAAAGGACACAGTGCCTGTCCCCACCAGGCTGACTGGAAAAACTCATAATTCACAGGGCATTGAGTAGCATGCTCAAAAAGGTCTCAGCTCAGTGGTAGGGAGTCATTAGCTTCTGTCAGAGCACTGCTCCACACCCACCTAACAAATCTTAAAAGCAAGACACGAGAAGATCCAACTGTTTTCAAAAAGCAAAGCCCAAGAAGATTTATAGGAATATAAAAATATCCAGCACCCAGCAAGATAAAGTCACAATGTCTGGCAGCCAACCAAAGATTTCCAGGCATGCGAAGAGGCAGAAAAATATGACCCATAATGAGAGAGTAATCAATCGTAACTGTCCCAGAACTGACACCGATGTTAGCGTTATATCTGTTACATTTAGAATTATGTTTAGATGCTATCAAAATTGCATTTCATGTGTTCAAGAAGTTAAAGTAGAAATATGGGATGTATTTTTAAAATACCCAAATCAAAGTTCTATAGAAGAAATGACAAATTATGAGAAGACAAATACACTGGATGGAATTAAAGGCAGATTAAACATTGCAGAAAAAAGGTTAGTGAATTTGAAGACATAGCAGTGGACACTAAACCAAATGACATACTGTGAGAAAAATCAGAATAACAAAGGATGATAAGAGCCCTAGTTAACTGTAGGACAACTTAGAGCTACTTAGCATATAGATAAAAAGAGTCTCCAAAGGAGGGAGGCCAACTGAAAACTATTTGGAGGAAGAACAGACAAGTTTTCGAAACTTGATTAAAACTATGCACCTACAAATCTAAGAAATCAGACCCAAGATTCATGAAGTAAAGTAAACCAAGCAGGCATGGTGGCTCATTCCTATAATCTCAGCACTTTGGGAGGCCAAGGTGGGAGGATTGCTTGAGGCCAGGAGTTCAAGACCAGCCTGGGCAACATAGCGAGAGCAACTCTGTCTCTACAAAATATAAAAAATTTAAAAATTGGTTGGGTGCAGTGGTTCATGCCTGTAATGCTAGAACTTTGGGAAGCCAAGGCTGGAGGACTGCTTAAGCCTAGGAGTTTGAGATCATCCTGGGCAACATAGTGAGACCTTGTTTCTACAAAAGATAAAATTAGCCAGGTGTGGTGGCACGTGCCTGTGGTCCCAGCTACTTGGGAGGCTGAGGTGGGAGGATCACTTGAGCCTGGGAGGTTGAGGCTGCATCGAGCCCTGATTGTGCCACTGCATTCCAGCATGAGTGACAGAGAAAGACCCTGTCTCAAAGAGAGAGAGAGAGAGAAAGAAAAAAAAAAGAAAAGAAAACCTATGTGATCACCTCAATACATGCAGAAAAACTTTTGACCAAATCCAACACCAATTCCTGATAGTCTCAGTAAACTTGGAATAAAAGGGAATTTCCTCAAACCGATATAGAAAATCCAAAAAACTACATCTAACATTATACTCAGTGGTGAAAAATGAATATTTTCCTCCTAAGATCAGGAACAATACAAGGATGTCTGCTTTCACCAATTCTATTCAGTATTCCACTAGAGGTTCTTGCCAGTGGAATCAAGCCAAGAAAAAGAAATAAAAAGCATCAGATTGGAAAGAAATTAAAACTGTTATTCATAGATGTCATGATATCTATGTAGAAAATGTGATAGATTCTACAAAAGAGCTATTAGAACTAATAAGTGAGTTTAGCAAGTTTGCAGAGCACAAAATCAACATACTCAAATGAATTATATTCTGTTTACCAGCAACAAACAATCAGAAATGGAAATTAAGAACTGCAATTTACAATAGAATTCTAAAAGATGATGAAATACTTAAGGATTAATCTGAGGATGTGAAAGACCTGTATGCTGGTAACTAAAAACATTGCTGAGCTATATTAAAGAAGATATGAATAAATGGTGAAGTATACCTTGTTCATGGGTTAGAAGACTCAATACTGTTAAGATGTCAGTTTCCTCCAAGTTGATCTATCTATTCAAAGTAATTATAATCAAAATCCCAGCTAGTTTTTTTTGTGGAAATTGAGAAGCTATTTAAAAAGTGGGGTGGCAATGCAGAGTTTATAGAGTGGGCAAACAACTCTGCCAAAGGACAAAGGTGGAGGGCTGACACCACCTGATTTCAAGACAAGGCTATGACAGACCAAATAGCTTCATATTAGCAGTAAGATAGACATATATCTGGGATAATATATTAGTTCATTCTCGCATTGCTATAAAATGAAAACTGTTGTTAATTCCTTTAACTATAGTAATTAAGTTAAATATTATAAATACTATCAAGACTGGGGAATTTATTTTTTTATTTTTTATTTTTTTGAGATGGGCAGTGGTGCAATCTTGGCTCACTGCAACCTCCACCTCCTGGGTTCAAGTGATTCTCCTGCCTCAGCCTCCTAACTGGAATTACAGGTGCATGTCACCACACCCAGCTAATTTTTTGTAGAGACAGTCTTGCTATGTTGTCCAGGCTGGTCTCGAACTCCTGACCTCAAGTGATCTGCCCACCTTGGCCTCCCGAAGTGCTGGGATTGCGGGTGTGAGCCACTAAGCCTGGCCAAGACTGGGTAATTTATAAAGAAAAGAGGTTCACTTGGCTCATGGTTCCACAGGCTGTATAGGAAACACAATGATGGCATCTGCTGGGCTTCTAGGGAGGCCTCAGGAAACAACCGTGGCAGAAGGCAAAAGGGGAGCTGGATCTACTCCTTTTTAAAGTGGATCTACTTCTTTTTAAAAATTATTTGTGGGCTGGTTGTGGTGGCTCATGCCTGTAATCCCAGTACTTTGGGAAGCTGAGGTAGGAAAATCGCTTGAGCCCAGGAGTTCAAGACCCCGTCTTATTTTTTTAAGTAAAAATAAATAAATAAATAAATATAAATCATTTGTGTAGAGACAGAGTCTTGCTATGTTGTCCAGGCTGGTCTCAAACTCCCGGCCTCAAGTGATCCTCCTGCCTTGGCCTCCCAAAGTGCTGGGATTACAGGCATGAACCATGGCTGGAGAAGGAACATGTGGGGGACGTGACACACTTTTCAACAACCAGATCTCAGAAGAACTCACTGACTACCAGAACAGCACCAAGAGGGAAATCCGCCCCTATGATCTAATCACTCCCACCAGGCCTCACCCCCTACATTGGGATTACTACTTGACATGAGATTTGGGTGGGGACACAGATCCAAACCATATCAGATGATAAAACAAACAAACAAAAATTGACACATGGATCAATGAAAGAGAGTAGAGATGTCAGAAATAGATCTGGGCCTCTGGGCCAGGTGTAGTGGTTCATGCCTGTAATCCCAGCACTTTGGGAGGCCAAGGCAGGAGATCACTTGAGGCCAGGAGTTTGAGAGCAGTCTAGACAACATGGCAACATAGCAAGACTCTGTCTGTACACAAATTTTATATATATATATATATATATATATATTTTTTTTTTTTTTTTTTTTCTTAAAAAAAGAAGACAGAGTCTTGAACTCCTGGGCTCAAGCGATTCTCTGACCTCAGCTTCCCAAAATGCTGGGATTACAGGCATGAGCCACTGCAACCAGCCCACAAATAATTTTAAGAAGTAGATCCACACATAAATCGACAATAGGTTTTTGGTAAGGGCACAAGGCAAGGCAGCAGAGATAAGATGGCCTTTACAACAGATGTTGCTGGAATAACTGGATATTGATTAGGAATAAAAAAAGAATTTGAATACTTCACAATATACAAAAATTAACTCAAAATTGATTCTAGATCTAATAAATCCTAAAACTATAAAACTTCTAGAAGAAGCAAAGGAGAAAACCCTTGGTGACGTTGGGTTAGGCATTTCTTAGGTACAACACCAAAAGTGGAATCCATAAAATAATAACATCAAAGGAAAACTTGGACTTCATCAAAATTAAAACTTCTGCTCTACAAAAGACACTGCTGAAAGAACAGAAAGACAAGCCACAAGCTGGGGAAGTGTTTTGCAAAGCATCTACCTGATAAAGGATTTGTATCCATCATAAATAAATATCTCGCAAAACTTGACAATAAGAAAACAAACAGCACAATTAAAACTAGGCTAAAGATCTAGGCAGGCAATTCACCAGAAAGATATATGGGTGGCAAGGAGGCACACAAATAGACGCTCAACATCATCGGTTGTTCCATACATGCAAATTAAAGCCACAACAAGATGCCACTGCAGACTCTTTAGATGGCAGAGATTTAAAAAGATGACAAGTAATCCCAATACTTTGGGAGGCCAAGGTGCGAGCATCACTGAGCCCAGGAGTTTGAGGTTACAGTGAACTATGATTGTAGCACTGCACTCCAGCCTGGATGACAAAGCGAAATCCTGTCTCAAAAAAGAAACAGATGACAATACCAATTGCGGGTAAATATTGGAGCAACTGGGACTCTCCTATTCTGCTTGTGAGACTGTAAAGTGACAAAGCCCCTTTAGAAAACCATTAGACAATTTCTTAAAATGTTAAACATACGTCTACCATACAATCCAGGCATTCCATGCCTAAATATTTCCCTAAGATAAAAGAAAGCATATAATTATACAAAAACGTATACACGGATGTTCAGAAAAGTATTTGTAATAGCCCCAAACTGGAAACAACCCAAACGACCAACAGTAGGTGAATGAATAAACAAATTGTGGTATAGCCACACAAAAGCCATAGTATTATGGAACAATAAAAAGGGACCACTGATACTAACAACATAGATGAATCCGAAAATAATTATTCTGAATGCAAGAAGCTAGACAAAAGTAGAATACCTATGGTATGAAGGAATATATATATATATAAAATTTGGCTGTGCGTGGTGGCTCACGTCTGTAATCCTAGCACTTTGGGAGGCCGAGGTGGGCAGATCACTGAAGGTCAGGAGTTCGAGACCAGCCTGGCCAACATGGCAAAACCCTGTCTCTACTAAAAATACAAAAATTAGCTGGGTGTGGTGGTGGGCACCTGTAATTCCAGTTACTCGGGAGGCTGAGGAAGGAGAGGCTGAGGAAGGAGAATCACTTGAACCCGGAGGTGGAGGTTGCAGTGAGCCGAGATCGCGCCACTGCACTCCAGCCTGGGTGACAGAGCAAGATTCCATCTCAATAAAATTAAATATAAAATAAAATAAGATAAAATATAAAACAAAACCAAGGAATTGACAGTGGTATAAAGTAGATCATTGTTGCTTAAGGACTGGTGGCGTAGGGGAAAGGGATTACACAGGGTTGTGAGGAAACCATTGGAGATGATAGACTTGTTCACTGTCTTCAATATGGTAATGTTTCCACAGATGTACACATACATGAACATTTATCAAGTTTTATACTTTAGATATGTGCACTTTGTTGTGTGTCAACTGTATGTCAATACAGCAGGTTCGTTTGTTTTTGTTTTTGTTTTTTACAAAAACCTTAAAATGAGACTATTTTGGGTGTCACTCCAACACCTGTTTCCAGGCCCTGGCAATGCTGCCTCTTTCCTTGTGTCCTTAATGTTGGCTGCCTTCCTACTCTGGCTGATCTCTGATTCACCTCACTATCCAGTTTGGCTTCCCAATTCCTTCATCACTAGTGTAAAAAAGTACCCCTGGCTGGGTGTGGTGGCTCACACTTCTAATCCCAGCACTTTGGGAGGCCAAGGTGGGCAAATCACTTGAGCTCAGGAGTTTGAGACCACCCTGGGCAACATGGAAAAACCCTGTCTCTACAAAAAAATACAAAAATTAGCTGGGCACAGTGGCTCACACCTGTGGTCCCAGCTGCTTGAGAGGCTGAGGTGGAAGTGGCACTTGAGCCTGGGAGGTGGAGGTTACAGTGAACCAAGATGGCACCACTGCACTCCAGCCTGGGTGACAGAGCAAGACTCTGTCTCAAAAAAAAAAAAAAAAAAAAAAAAAACCGTGAATTAAAATCCCTCTGTCCTGAATATTTGAGGTTGCTTCTATTTACCTGATAGATCCTGTCTGATATATTTGGTAACCACACAGTAATAATTTATCCAGGCCAGTAGATGAATCTCTGTGTGACCTTGGATGGATGTCATAAGGCTACCTGTTTTCTCCTTCTAGTCTCCTAAGTACCTGAAATCCCCACTTCTTCTTCTTCTTTTTTTTTTTAAGACAGGATCTAGCTCTGTTGTCCAGGCTGGAGTGCAATGGCTCAATCATGGCTAACTAAAGCCTTGACCTCCTGAGCTCAATTTACCCTTGCCTTGGCTTCCCAAGTACCTGGAACTACAGGTGTACACCACCACATCTAACTAATTTTTTTTTAATTTTTCTTTTTTAGAGACAAGCTCTTGCTATGTTGACCAGACTTGTCTTGAACTCCTGGCCTCAAGCCATCCTCCTGCCTCAGCCTCCCAAAGTGGTGGAATTACAGGAGTGAGCCACCACACCTGGCCCCACAGTCTTAATGTCATGCTTTGTTGGCTTTCTAGAGAAATAGATATCTATTTAGGGGAAGATTTTAGTAGTTGTCTTAGCCCACTTGTGTTGCTATAACAAAATATCACAGACTAGGTAATTTATAAAGAACAGAAATTTATTTCTAACAGGAGGCTGGTGATATGGTTTGGCTGTGTCCCCACCCAAATCTCATCTTGAATTCCCATGTGTTGTGGGAGGGACCCTGTAGGAGGTAACTGAATCATGGTGGCAAGTCTTTCCCATGCTGTTCTCATGATAGTGAGTAAGTCTCATGAGATCTGATGGTTTTAAAAAGAGGAGTTCCCCTGCACGAGCTCTCTCTATTTGTCTACTGCCATCCACGTAAGACGTGACTTGCTTCTCCTTGCCTTCTGCCATGACTGTGAGGCTTCCCCAGCCACTGGGAACTATAAGTCCCTTAAACCTCTTTCTTTTGTAAATTGCCCAGTCTAGGTTATACCTTTATCAGTAGTGTAAAAATGGACTAATACAGCTGGGAAGTTCAAGATCAAAGTGCCACCAGGGTTGGCTGTCTGATGAAGATCAGATCTCTGCTCCCAAGATGGCACCTTAAACACTATGTCCTCACATGGCGGAAGGTTGAAGGCCAAAAGAGCTCAAACTCCCTTCAGTCAAGCCCTTTTATAATGGAATGAATCTATTAATGAGGGCAGAGCCCTCATGACCTCCCTAAACATTCCAATTCCTAAGATTGTTGCATTGGGAATTACATTTTTAATATAGGAATTTGGGGGATACATTCAGACCACAGCAGTGGTTAAAAAGGACAGTGTGCAGCCAATAGGGGACTAAATATCTAGAGAGTGAGGGTGAGATGACATCAGGAAAGGGATCCTAGTAGGACAAAAAGGTTCCAAAAAGATGTGGAGAATTTGAAGATCAAGTTTACCTCTTTTACAACTGTGCTTAGGACCATCTACTAATTCATACAGGAGCACTCAGATTCATAAAACAAGTTCTTAGAGACCTACAAAGAGACTTAGACTCCCACACAATAATATTGGGAGACTTTAACACCCAACTATCAATATTAGATAGATCATCAAGACAGAAAATTAACAAAGGTATTCAGGACATGAACTCAGCTCTGGATCAAGTGGACCTGATAGATATCTACAGAACTCTCCACCCAAAAACAATAGAATATACATTCTCCTTGGTGCCATATGGCACTTACTCTAAAATTGATCACATAATTGGAAGTAAATCACTCCTCAGCAAATGCAAAATAACTGAAATCATAACAAACAGTCTCTCAGACCACAGCACAATCAAATTAGAACTCAAGATTAAGAAACTCACTCAAAACCACACAACTACATGGAAATTGAACAACCTGCTCCTGAATGATTCTTGGGTAAATAATGAAATTAAGATAGAAATCAAGAAGTTCTTTGAAACCAATGAGAACAAAGAGACAATGTACCAGAAACCCTGGGATGCAGCTAAAGCTGTGTTAAGAGGGAAATTTATAGCACTAAATGCCCACATCAAATTGACCCCTTAACATCACAACTAAAAGAACCAGAGAACCAAGAGCAAACAAATGCCAAAGCTAGCAGAAGACAAGAAATAACCAAAAATATTTTTAAAATTCTTTGCATATTGTCAAAAGACAAACTCATAATGAATTTAGTTAAAGATCTCAGTTGGCTTTATTGTGATTGTAGAATTGGGCAACAGTTCATTCCATAAAATAGAATAAGTATTCCAATGAGTTGAGCAAAGGGAATTGTCTTTATAAACAGAAAGGGCTGAATAAATCAGAAACAAAGAACAAAAAGCAGACTGGTCATTTTAAAGTTACTTTCCTTGTGGCCAGGTGCAGTGGCTCGTGCCTGTAATCCTAGCACTTTGGGAGGTGAAGTTGGGTGGAACACCTGAGATCAGGAGTTTGAGACCAGCCTGGCCAACATGGCAAAACCCCATCTCTTCTAAAAATACAAAATTAGCCGGGTGTGGTGGCAGCACCTATAATCCCTGTTATTCAGGAGGCTGAGGCAGGAGAATTGGTTGAACCTAAGGGGCAGAGGTTGCAGTGAGCCGAGGTCATGCCATTTCGCTCCAGCCTGGGCAAAAGAGCGAAACTCCATCTCAAAAAAAAAAAATTAAATAAAATAAAGTTACTTTCCTTGTAAGGTGGTGATATAGTTTGAATATACATCCCCGCCACATCTCATGTTGAACTGTAATCCCCATGTTGGAGGTGGGACCTGGTGGAAGGTATTTAGGTCACTGGGGCAGATCCCTCACGTCTCGGTGCTATTCTCACACTGGCGAGTGAGGTCTCGGGAGATCTGGTTTGTGAAGTCTGTGGCACCTCTTGCTGCACTCATTCTTGCTCCTGCTTTCCTCATGTTAAGTGCCTTCTCCTGCTTCACCTTCTACCATGAGTAAAAGCTCCCTGAGGCCTCCCCAGAAGCCAAGCAGATGCTGGTGCCACGCTTGTAAAGCTGGAAGAACCTCTTTTCTTATAAATTACCCAGTCTCAGGTATTTCTTTATAGTAATGCAAGAATGGCCTAATACAGGCAAGGACAGGGAGACAGAACAACTGAAAGATAACTGACTGGTTCTCATGTTTCTTGTATAGCCCGCAGAACTGAGCCAAATAAACCTTTTTTCTTCATAACTTACCCAGCCTCAGGCATTCCTTTATAGAAACACAAACAGACTAACGCAGTATTTTGTGAAAAAGCCTGCTGATTCAGCTCACAGCTGAACCAGATGACTGTTTTCTTTAAGATAACCATTGTACTTGGATTTGCAGCAGAAGTGCTTTCTGCATTCTTCCTATTTTGTCACACAGAATATTAGAAAGATATGTACTCAAAGATTAAGTTTTAATGAAATCAATCATTTTTATTGCTCTATCAAAAACTTTTTTTTTTTATTTTTTATTTGAGACAGAGCCTCACTCTTGTTGCCCAGGCTGGAGTGCAGTGGCGCAATCTTGGCTCACTGCCATCTCCCCCTCCTGGGTTCAAGCAATTCTAGTGCCTCAGCCTCCATAGTAGCTGGGATTACAGGCATGCACCACCATGCCCGGCTAATTTTTGTATTTTTATTAGAGACGTGTTTTCTCCATGTTGTCCAGGCTGGTCTCGAACTCCTGACCTCAGGTGATCTGCCCACCTCGGCCTCCCAAAGTGCTGGGATTACAGGTGTGAGCCACCACCCCTGGCCTCATCAAGAACATTCTTAAGCCAAATTGGTGTGGTTTTTTTTTTTGTTTTGTTTTGTTTTAAAGGGGCTGTAAGTACACGGTAGTAGAGACTATGATTATTCGTACTGTTTGAAGCCACAGCCTTGATTCTTGCTATAGCCCACCATTTACATATCATTTAATTTATTTTGCCATTTTATCAATTTTACCATTTTACCCACCATTGTTTTTAACTGTGCAAATGTTAGCACAGTTAAAAAGACAAAGAATATCATGGTATACTATGAAAATAGCTTTGACCTCACAGGCCCCTTGCAGAAAGGTCCTCTGGCCTAGCTGCAAGAACACTGATACTCAAACTGGGGTCTGGGGATCCCTGGGGGAGAATCATTGTTCTCCGGGCTAAGCCAGAGTGCCCGGTAAACATAATTGCTCCAGAAAATGGCATAAAGGGCTGTCTTGTTCTTATCAGTGCATCTCCTCTGATAGGAGGCTATTTTGATTGCTCATTGAGAATCTCTACTGTTTCCAGAAATATTCATCTCCTCCCTTCCTCCCCTGCTCCATAACCTTCATCCAGAATTCATGTCAGAGCTCTGGGTTGAAGGACTAGGGAGAGGCTACTGCTGGTATCCTGAGATGAAGTCACTGAGCCCTGAAAGCCATAAAATAACTGCTAAGTTTTTCCTCTCTGCCCTACTCTCTGCTGGCCTGTCAAGCAATCTTCCCAAATTTTGGAAGATCTGAAATCCAGTCTCAGGAGTCTGATAAGATGCTGCAGGCAGACACTGATGAGTTTTTTATCTGCATAAAATAAACTCTATTTTTAAAATATATACATATATATTTTTTGCCTGTGATACAGCCCTCAGGAGGTCCTGGGAACATGTGCCCCATGTTTTTAAGAGTTTAGCCTGACAAATATCCACTGACAGGAGCCTTAGAACCGGTCATGGGTTTGGTGTGATGAAGACAGGAGCAATCAGCTGTGAGGTCCAGAAGAGAATGAGTGAGCCAGGAGTGGTGGCTCATGCCTGTAATCCCAGCACTTTGGGAGGCTGAGGTGGGTGGATCACCTGAGGTCAGGAGTTCGAGACCAGCCTGGCCAACATGGTGAAACCTTGTCTCTACTAAAAATACAAAAATTAGCCAGGCATGATGGTGTGCACCTGTAATCTCAGCTACTTGGGAGGCTGAGTCACAAGAATCACCTGAACCCGGGAGACTGAGGTTGCAGTGAGCCGAGATCGTGCCACTGCACTCCAGCCTGGGTGACAAGAGCGAAACTCTGTCTCAAAAAAAAAAAAAAAAAAAAAAAAAAGAAGAAGAAGCAGAAGAGAATGAGTGGATGGGAAATGTAAGAATAAGCACAGAGCATGCACAGGATGCATTAGCAAAACATCAAAGAGAGATTAGAGAGGGCTAACAGTCTAACACACAAATACATTTTGAAGCTAGTCATGGTTTGAACATGTCTTAATCTAGGATAAAAGAGTGACAGAAAAAGAAGTGATGGAATGAGTGAAAGTACTTTGAAAAATACACAAGTGGATGACAACAAGAGGAAGAAAATAACAATCACAACAGCAACGTAGCAGTAAATATGGGCCATCTACTTCACTCAATTCAGATATACTGAATGTATTTCATATTGTATTGTTTCTCACTTAGTCTTTAAAACTAATCTATGAGATGTATGGTCCAAAAGACCACCAGGATGGCTTAACAGTAGAAAGGAGAGCTTTGTGATATCGGTTTGCAAACCAGGAAGAGACAGTTTTGGCATGTAATAAAGGTGCTTTCTCTTCAAAGAGGGAAAGGGCAGGATGGTTTTTGTGCCTCACAGGGTCTGTATTACACAATAGTCATATATATTCAGGTTTTGGAGGAAAGCTGTACATATTTATGAGGGGAGCCAAATGCATGCACAATGGCTACACATATATGTAATATCCATCCCATGTTCACTTTGGGGAAGGGTTTTGGCTTTAAACTGAGATGGAATTTGGCTCTTTACGTTAAAGGTGACCTACAGGACACAGAGATAATTTGTGTGTGCAGTCTCTACAATTTGCTGAAACTGGCTTGAGGTTGGCAGTTACTTATCAGGAAAGTGTTTCTAAGGCCAGGTCTCTGTCCAATCAGGGCTGTAGTGGTCTGGATTGTACATCAGACTTAGGAAGTGTCTGACAATTTGCCTGATAATTCCTACTGTTAGGGAGTTTAGCAAGAGTGTGGTTTTTCTTGTAGCCACAGGAATTTAGGAAATTGCCATGCCAGCTGAGCCCTGAACCCTTCATTCGTTGGTAACTTTTGTTTCTGTAACCTAAAGGTTTGTCTTAGTTGATAAAGGGATGCCAACTTGGCTCTCCCAGATCACAGATGTTATCATCATCTTATGGCTGGGGAACCTGAGGCTCAGAGAGTTTAATTAATTTGTCCAAGGTCACAGAGCCAAGAAGGGAGAATGCTGGATTCGAACCCAAGTATATCTGACATTCTATATTCTAGCCTTTTCCCTCATTCTGATATTTTCTCTGAAAACCCCTGGGTTTATCCTGGCACTTTCATGTGTGTAAGTCATTTGTGCACAAGCCAAGGTTTGTTTCCTGGGTAGGCGCTGCAATACCTACTTGGTATTTGAGGTCAGTACATTATAGGAATAAATTGTGCTGTGTCTAGGCTTTTAAGTATCTAAATGATTGAGAGTTCATCTTCAAAGGAGAAAATAGCCTTATAAAACAGGATTACAAAGGCAAGGCTTAGTGTCTTAGAATCCCTAAGCCTCGCAACCCGAAGAGCAGAAGAGAAAAAATGTCTCCAGCTACAAGAGAACTAACGAGCTTTAAATGAAAGAGCTAGAGTCACATTTTCCCCTGAACTCCCATAGATACATGAATACAAATCTGTCTTTTCTCTTGCAAAAAAAAACTTTTTTTTTAAGGAAAGAGCTGTCATTTTGCTAAGCAACACCAGAAGCTGATTATCTGGTGCCTGTTCTGGGTAAAAGGTAGAAAAGCCAAATGATGAAAAGATGCCACCTCATTTAACAACTAAAATATTACACACAGTCGAGTAACTACCAAATAGGGTCCATTTAAACACCAACCTTAGTCCAATATCTTTTTTTTTTTTTTTTTTTTGGAGTTGGAGTCTCGCTCTGTTGCCCAGGCTGAAGTGCAGTTGTGCGATCTTGGCTCACTGCAACCTCCGCCTCCCGGGTTCAAGTAATTATCTGCCTCAGCCTCCTGAGTAGCTGGGATTACAGGTGCCCACCACCACGCCCGGCTAATTTTTGTATTTTAGTAGAGACAGGGTTTCACCATGTTGGCCAGGCTGGTCTTGAACTCCTGACCTCGTCATCCACCTGCCCTGGCCTCCCAAAGTGCTGGGATTACAGGTGTGAGCCACCGCGCCTGGCTGTCCAACATCTTAATGTAACATCTCCTTGTGTAAGCAGTCACCTCATGCACAGTGGGTGTCCAATAATCCTACAAACTCAGAGCTAGAACGACTTTTACCACCACTTATCATAGCTGTGTGCAGATACAGATAAGGGAGACCAGGAGGGGAAGAGTTTGCCCAAGGTCACACAGTTCTCTCCTGCAGAGCTGAAACAAATCCCAGGTCTGTGGGGGATGAGAGGTAACAACCCTGGCCTGTGAAGTGAGGCTGCCTCAGTTCAAGGCTGGAGTCCTGTGACAATCCCAAGAAAGGATGAGCCATGAGGCATGTGGTGTGCTTGCCCTAAATTCACTACTGTTAGTACCATTATTACTGTTAGATAATTTGTTGTTGTTGTTTTTTTTTTAGAGACGGAGTCTTGCTCTGTTGCCCAGGCTCAAGTGCCATGGCATGGTCATAGCTCACTGCAGCCTTGAACTCCTGGACTCAAGTGATCCTTCTGCCTCAGCCTCCCGAGTAGCTGGCACTACATGCACACACCACTGCACCTGGCTTATTTATTTATTTATGAGATGGAGTTTTACTCTGTCGCCCAGGCTGGAGTACAGTGGCACAATCTTGGCTCACTGCAACCTCCACCTTCCAGGTTCAAGCGATTCTCCTGCCTCAGCCTCCCCTGTAGCTGGGATTACAGGTGCCCACCACCACGCCCGGCTAATTTTTGTATTTTTAGTAGAGACAGGGTTTCACCATGTTGGCCAGGCTGGTCTTGAACTCCTGACCTCGAGTGATCCACCCGCCTTGGCCTCCCAAAGTGCTGGGATTACAGGCGTAAGCCACCACACCTGGCCCTGGCTAATTTATTTTATTTCTTGTAGATATGGGGTTCTTGCTTTGTTGCCCAGGCTGATCTTGAACTCTTGGCTTCAAATGATCCTCCTGCCTAGACCTCCCAAAATGCTGGGATTATAGGCACGAGCCACTGAACCCAGTCTATTAGATAAAATTTACGGGAGGCTATTGGTTTAGACTGAGCTCCTGCACTTGGCTCAACAGACCAAACTAAAATGGAGCCATTCATGCTGAAGTTCCACACCACCAAGCCAAACCTAAGTTGTTTATCTGATCTTCCAAGAAATCAGGAGAGACAGAGATAATAACCTAACCAATAACTAAAAGGCCAGTTTTAGCGGGCATTGAGACGGAAATAATACAGGGTGGTCATAGGAGAATAGAATATTCTAGGCGGCAGTTTCACATGAGCAGCCAAAGGAAACTGTAAATAGCTACAGAAGCTATGGGCTGATAAGACCCTGAAAAAACCAGGGTGTGGGCCAAGCTGGCTAAGACTGACTGGACCCAACATGGCACTGGAGTGACCTAGGTTTCACCTGGGACCTCATTATACACTCATTAACATACCAAACACACACCCCCCAGCGCCATGACAGTTCTGGGAACATCCATATTTGGTGTAAAAATGAGTGGCACCACAGTTCCGAGAAACCTCCACCTTTTTCCAGGAATTCTCATGAATATTCAGCCCCTTGATTAAAAAAACCCATAAAGGTAGCACCCCCAAACCCCCTTGTGTGTGACTCTCTAGTGAGTACACATACATTCCCTTTTCTTGAGTGTATACTTTTCACTCTGCAATAAATCTCCCTGTTTTCACTATTTCCTCACTCATTCTTTTTTTTTTTTTTTTGAGACAGAGTCTCGCTCTGTTGCCAGGCTAGTGTGCAGTGGGGTGATCTCGGCTCACTGCAACCTCTGCCTCCTGGGTTCAAGCGATTCTCCTGCCTCAGCCTCCCGAGTAGCTGGGATTACAGGCATGCGCCACCACGCCCGGCTAATTTTTGTATTTTTAGAAGAGATGGGTTTTCACCATGTTGGCCAGGATGGTCTCTATCTCTTGATCTGCCTGCCTTGGCCTCCCAAAGTGCTGGGATTATAGGCATGAGCCACCGCGCCCAGCCTCCTCATTCATCCTTGAATTCCTTATTGAGAGGGTGTCAAGAGCCTGGACACCGGCCACGGTCAAGGTCCCACTGGTATTTGGAGACCTCCTCTGGCCCACCGGTATCAACATGATAAGGAAGCCCCCTCTGCTTTAACCTGTCTACCTAAAAGGAAGAGGCTGAGGCAAAATTAATGTAAATAGTTTATTTGGGCCAAGCTTGAGATTGCTTCCCGAGAGCATAGATTCAAGCTGCCCAGTGAATATTCACTGGGACTAGTAACAATTACAAGTAGGGTTTTAAAATTTTGTTTTGTTTAGAGATGGGGTCTCACCGTCGCCTAGGCTGGAGTGCAGTGGTGTAATCATGGCTCACCACAGCCTTCAATTCCTGGGCTCCAGCAATCCTCCTGCCTCCGCCTCCCAAGTACTTGGGAATGCAGGGACCTACTACCTTGAGGTTTTTAAAGGAAAAGAAGAGGCAGTTCCTAAATTGTTTACCAAGATTTCACATTAAAATAATATAAGCTATTGATTGGCTATACATTATTCTTTGTATCACAAATTCCAGGAACAGGAAGACACTGGGTGAGGCAGCTAGTCAGGAACAAAATTACCTTAAACAATTGACCCCAGGTATGGGGCAGGGGAGGGCTGGAGGCAGGCATGACTGAAGTCTCACACTCCTGTCTCTCTGGTCCCGAGTACTTTACAGAGCTCAGAATGCTTGGAGCTATTTTTCTTCTCTCAAAGCTGTAGGAGGAAAATAACTTTGAAAGGACCAATCTGCTTTTTGTTCTCAGCTTCTACTAATACTTTCCTCAGCCTTTTTCTGTCTACCAAGCCAACCGCCTCTGCTCAGCTCAACAGAACTCTCATTCTGTCCCAGCCTGGTGGCTCACGCCTATAATCCCAGCACTTTGGGAGGCCGAGGCGGGAGGATGACCTGAGGTCAGGAGTGCGAGACCAGCCTGGCAAACTTGGTGAAAACCTGTCTCTACTAAAAATACAAAAAATAAAATAAAAAATTAGCTGGGTGTGGTGGCACACACCTGAGGACTAAGACCTGATTTTTTGTTTTAATCTTGCCCAAATTCCTATCTAAGGGATATGCCCTACAAACCATAAATTCTCATCACATGGGTTTTATTTGACCCTATATATCATGACTTACTTTCCAATCTGACCCTGGCATAACAAGGAAGAAAATCAAAATATTTTACCCCAAAACGTGTTTCTCTGCCACATCTTGAAATAGCCCTGCAAAGCCATCCCTTGTGGGAAAAATCCACATCTACAGAGAATCCTCTTTCCCCCTTTTCTTCATTGTTCTTTTTTGTTTTTGTTTTTTTGAGACAGGGTCTCACTCTGTCGCCAGGCTAGAGTGCAGTGGCACGGCTCACTGCAACCTCTGCCTCCTGGGTTCAAGCAATCCTCCTGCCTCAGCCTCCTGAGTAGCTGGGACTACAGGTGTGCACCAACTCACCCGGCTAGTTTTTGTATTTTTAGTAGAGACATGGTTTCGCCATGTTGGCCAGGCTGGTCTTGAACTCCTGACCTCAGGCGATCTGCCTGCCTCAATCTTCCAAAATGCTGGGAATACAGGCGTGAGCCACCGCGCCTGCCACCACCCTCCCCCACCACTGCCCTTTTTTTTTCCTTCCTTCCTTTCCAGATCCAGGAGATAATCAACTAAGAGCCAGACACCCTTTGAGGTCCGATAAGAAACATTTTACAACCTGCTGTCTCTGAAGTCTGCTATCGGAGAACTTCCTCTACACAATAAAACTTGGTCTCCACAATCCTTTATCTTAACCTGAACATTTCCTTTCTCTTGATTCCAGGATAAATTCAACCAATTGTCAACCAGAAAATGTTTAAATTTACCTATAGCCTGGAAGCACCCCCACCCCCGCCACCCCGCTTTGAGTTGTCCCGCCTTTCTGAACCAAACCAATGTATTTCTTAAATGTATTTGATTGATGTCTCATACCTCCCTAAAATATATAAAACCAAGCTGTACTCTGATCACCTTGGGCACATGTCACGCAACATGGCCACTCATATTTGGCCGTCTCATATTTAAGAGAATAAATCTCTTAAAATATTTTACAGAGTTTGACTCTTTTGGGCAACACGCCTGTAGTCCCAGCTACTGGGGCAGCTGAGGCAGGAGAGAATCGCTTTGAACCCGGGAGATGGAGTTGCAGTGAGCCAAGATCCCATCACTACAGTCCAGCCTGGGTGACAGAGCAAACTCCCTCTCAAAAAAAATTTTGAGTACACCATGGTGCCTGCCTGTAGTCCCAGCTCCTTGGGAGGCTGAGGCAGGAGGATCACTTGAGCCCAGGAGTTTGAATCTAGTCTGGGCAATATGGCAAGACCCTGTCTCTAAAAAAAAAGGAAAGAAAAGAAAATCAACTATTTACTGGGCTAACACAGGAGACATTTCTGGGCCTTGTTTTTATTTTTATTTTATTTTGGGGGTACCTTCTTTTTAGACACCAGCCAAAATCAGTAGGAAGCTGTAGGCAACCAACACTTGGGATTGCAATATTTTACCACAATTCAAACTTGAAATGGGTTCATTCAGGGATTCTTCCATTTTGATAGGGCACTCAGTGAGAGAAGGACTGGAGAAAAGGTGGGCGCCTTCCACAGAGGTTCACGTGTTGCAGCTTCATTGGGCAGCACATGGACGGCAGCTTGGAAGTAGGTCTTTGAGTTTGCACCTGCGGACCGAGCAAGGTACCAGATTTCCGAAAGCAGCTTCTGTTTACTCCAGGATCCTACAAGTCACTGGTGTAATTTCTAACATAGCCTGTAGGTATGAGGCTACAGAAAGACTCATGAAGGAGGAGAGCCCCCTGTTTGCAAAAGTCCAGGCCTATCTTTGGAAAATCAAGGCTGTGCAGGGTGAGGGCGCAAATGCTACATTTAGAGGCTGTAACCGGGGATGTGGGAGGACCCAGGGAGGGGCGCGGCGACGGCTGGCTGGGCCAAGAAGAGCGCGCCCAGCAGCCCGGCAGGCACCTCAGGGTGTTTTGGAGGCCCACGTGTCCCGCCTCATTGGCCGTCGGGGAGCTCCAGCCCCAAGGAGGCGGAGCCGCCACCGCAGTTGCTGTTCACGAGTTTCCCCAACTGGCTCCCCAGTCAGTCTGTAGGGCCCTACCTTACGGTCGTCCGGGATCAGAACTCCCAGAAGGCTTCGCGCTCGGGGGCGTGGCACTGCAGGGTGGGCGTTGCAGAGACGCAAATGAAGTCGCCGCGCCTGGCATCTGCCTGCCCTCGGTGGGCTTCCAGGGGGCGGGGTAAAGCTTTCTCACCGCCCGACGGGTTCCTCCTCCTCTGACCTCTGGACTCTCTCACCGCCCCGAAGGTCACCTCGGACCACTGCTCGACGGGCAGCATGTTCCAGAGTGGCTGGGGAGTCGCAGGGCTGGGTACTGGGTTGCGTTGAAGCTGCTGCTCCTCCGGGCTGCCTGGGCAGCCTGTTTGGCGCCCAGGAAGTTACAGTGCTAAGAGGGGAACCACGGGGCAACCCCGGGGGTCCCCACCCAGGACCCCCAAGCCCAAACCAGCACCACGGGGCGGAAGCCGATTGTAATTGGGAAAAAGCAGAGCCGCTAAGGTGCTTTAATTTTGGCTAAGAAGATGGCAGGAAAGACTACAGCCAAATCAATGGGATGAATGTCTGTGGATTATGCTGCGGCGTTTAAATCTGTCCTCCATAATTCTTTGTCTGTCTTTCATAAAGCTTTGATCATTTTATCCCTTAAGTTACCTTCTGGGAGAATTCCTTGGCTTCGTATTTATTCCAGCTCTCTGGTTTGCTTTTCAGCAGTGCCCGCTCTGCTGTTTTGCCCACCTCTTGAGGGTTTCTTTTTCTTTCAGTAGCTGTTTGTGTGTCCAAGATCTCTAGTTAATTCTTCTTCTTATTATTATTCTTATTTTTAGATGGAGTCTTGCTCTGTTGCCCAGGCTGGAATGCAGTGGTGAGATCTCGGCTCACTGCAACCTCCACCTCCTGGGTTCAAGCGATTCTCCTGCCTCAACCTCCAGAGTAGCTGGGATTACAGGCACGCGTCATCACACCTGGCTACTTTTTGTGTTTTTAGTAGAGACAGGGTTTCACCGTGTTAGCCAGGCTGGTCTCGAACTCCTGACCTCAGGTGAGGCCTGCTTCAGCCTCCCACAGTGCTGGGATTACAGGCATGAGCCACCTGGCCCAGCCTGGCTTTCTTTTCATAACTGCCTGCTCTCATTTCATGCTGTGATATTCTTGCTTATCCCTATACATATTTTAGTTACACTGATTTTCACTCTTTTAAACTGTTTTTTCCAAGTGCAGGTTCTCCTTTCGAAAAAAAATGAGGCCGGGTGTGGTGGCTCACACCTGTAATCCCAGCACTTTGGGAGGCCGAGGCCGGCAGATCACCTGAGGTCGGGAGTTCGAGACCAGCATGACCAACACGGAGAAACCCCATCTCTACTAAAAATACAAAATTAGCTGGGCGTGGTGGTGCATGCCTGTAATCCCAGCTACTCAGGAGGCTAAGCCAGGATAATTGCTTGAACCTGGGAGGCGGAGGTTGCGGTGAGCCAAGACAGTGCCATTGCACTTCAGCCTGGGCAACAAGAGTGAAACTCTGTTAAAAAAAAAAAAAAAAGAAAAGAAAAAAGAAAGAAAAATATATAAGGTTATTCTTTCCGCTTGTGGTTTTCCTCAAATGTTTGTGACTGGTTATGTCCCATTTCTGTACCTGAGATTCCTTGTTAGCCTGTTTTCCACTCTTTGTACAGATCTGCCCCTCCCCCAAGTGTGTGCAAAGAGAGGTGGGTGCCACAGGATTTAATTACATTTTTTTTTTTTCTTTTTGAGATGGAGTCTCACTGTTGTTGGCCTGGGCTGGAGTTCAATGGCGTGATCTCGGCTCACTGCAACCTCTGCCTCCTGGGTTCAAGCGATTCTCCTGTTTCAGCCTCCTGAGTAGCTGAGATTACAGGCGCCTGCCACCATCCCTGGCTAATTTTTGTATTTTTAGTGGAGATGGGATTTCACCATGTTGGCCAGGCTGGTCTCAAACTCCTGACCTCAGGTGATCCACCCGCCTCGGCCTCCCAAAGTGCTGGGATTACAGGCGTGAGCCACTGCGCCCGGCCAATTTGTTTGTTTTTTATTTTAAGAGACAGGGTCTCACTCTGTCACCCAGGTTGAAGTGCAGTGGCATAATCATAGCTCACTGCAGCCTCAAACTCCTGGGCTCAAGGGATCTTCCCACCTCAGCCTCCCAAGTAGTTGGGACTACAGGCATGTGCCCCTACACTTGGCTAATTTTTAAATTTTTTTTGTGGAAATGGGGTCTGGCTTTGTTGACCAGGCTGGTCTTCAACTCCTGGCTTCAAGTGATTCTGCTACCTGGGCTTCTGAAAATGTTCAGATTCCAGGCACTGTAATCCCACAGTGAACCACCGTGTCTGGCCCTAATTTTTTTTTTTTTTTTAATGAGAGAAGGGCAGTATTTGTAGCCTAGTGGCCAGCTGGGGGCTCCCTGTTCCCTGCTAGTGTGATAATCATTGGCATTTGTACCCATACTCACAGATGGAAGCAGAGACCCCATTTTCTGTTTGCTGGAAGGTTGTATTTTGGTGAAACTTTTTTGTTGTAGTGTCTCAGTTACCCTGTCACTCACTGGTCAGATGTCTTATTGCTTCAGATATTTGCACAATAGACTGATTAAAATCCATCTCCAGCTACTTACAAACTATTACAGGCAGTGGAGCTTTGAAGGCTTTTGCTACAAGTCAAAGCCCTGGTTGTTAAAATTGTAGAACAGGCTATTATGTAGCTTAGGCAGTGTGACAAATTGGCACCAATTGTTTGTAGGGGTGAGAAACATCTGGAAGGTTCCCAGGAAGTCGTGGGTTTTGGGGGGAAAGAAAATGAGGGTGGGATTACCAGATTTAGGAGGTAATGAGTAAAGCTTGAGAGGTAGGACTTGAGTCATGAATTTTTGTTGTTGGCCCGGCAGGAGTTGAGGTATGAGAGGGTGTCCTGGTGCAACACTGAAGTGGATGGGATGCAGGGAGGTGGTAAAGTCGTTACTCCAAAATGAAGCCGGCATTCGAATTTGGGTATCAAGAAACCACCACTATAATTCAGCTGAATTATCATATTTGTAGTTTTGTGTGCGTGTGTGTATCTCATGTGGGTGTGTTATGGTAGCATGTGTCCCAAGCCCCACAGTGAGTTTATTTTATCCATGACCAGACCCAGGTCCTTTGGCTCCAAGTCTGCTAGTTGAGCTGACCATCCTATATGTCAGGTGCAAGACAACCACTGGTGAGAGGTAGACACCTTTCATTTCCCCTTGCGGAGGGTGGACCAGCTCTATGAACTCTGACCAATAAGGGAAACCCAGCAAGTCCCTGGGACCGCATGCCCGGGGCAGAGTGTGTTGGTAGGAGCCTCACAGGAGGCGGGCAGGAGGTGCCTCCCCTTGTTCTCCTGCCATCACGGAAGGTGCTTTGAGGTAGAGCATGGGGCAGTGTGGAGATGGAGCAGTAACAGGCCTAGAGAAGACTAGAGCCATTGGAACGGGAGGCTTTGGTTATTGTTTTTGATTTTGCAAGTGTGTATGCATGTGTATGTGTGTGCGTGAGAGAAAATGCACTACATTTAAAAAAAAATTTTTTTTTGAGAAGAGTCTCTGTGTCACCGAGGCTGGAGTGGGGTGGCACAATTATGGCCCACTGCAACCTCCACCTCCCGGGCTCAAGGGATCCTCCTACCTCAGCCTCCTTAGTAGCTGGGATTACAGACATGTACCATTTTTTTCCATACATATATGTGTATACATATATTTTATATATATGTGTGTGTACATATATATATATGTGTGTATACATATATTTTATATATATTTTTTAGAGACCAGCTTTCGCCATGTTGCTGTTGCCCAGGCTGGTCTTGAACTCAATCTATCTGCCTGCCTCTGCCTCCCAAAGTGCTGGGATTATAGGCGTGAACCACCACACCCAGCCTAAATTTTTAAATAAGAAAATAGCATTTGCTTTTTGTCTGATGAGTTTTTTTTCTGTGATACCAAGAAATTCAATATGATTGTAAATGGAGTGCCAGTGCTGGACCCAAAGATTTGGAGAGGCAGATCCAAAGAGCTATCTTCTTCTTTTTTTGTAGTTGTTTTTTGTTGTTGTTTGTTTGTTTCTTTGAGATGGAGTTTCACTCTTGTCACCCGAGCTGGAGTGCAGTGATGCGATCTGGGCTCACTGCAACCTCTGCCTCCTGGGTTCAAGTGATTCTCCTGCCTCAACCTCCCGAGTAGCTGGGATTACAGGCACGTGCCACCACACCCAGCTAATTTTTTTTTGTTTGTTTTTAGTAGAGACAGGGTTTCACCATGTTGGCCAGGCTGGTCTCGAGCTGTTGACCTCAAGTGATCCGCCCGCCTCGGCCTCCCAAAGTGCTGGGATTACAGGCATGAGCCACTGCTCCCGGACTAGGAGCTATCTTCTTAAGTGATATAAACACCTAGCCATTGGCAAGACTGCAATTCCAACAGTACAATATGCCCGATGTAGTATTGAACCTGCTAAACTTGCTTCACTGTTTTTAATCTAATGGAACAAATCTTCATGGCATTAAGTGAAAAGGGCCCTGCTACAGTGCAGTGTGAGGAAGTTGTGGGCAGCTATGCCCTTTGGGGCCTTTGTGCATGGTGCTCTCCTGGCCTCCCCCTCAGGCCCACTGACTTGCCACTTCAGCAGCATTCAGCATGTACTTGCTGTGCAACCTGTAGCAGTAAAAATAGCAACAGAGGTCAGTTACGGGTGCTTACTCTACTCTGTTCCAGGCACTGTGCTATCACCTGGGTCTATAATGGTGAGATAAAAATAGAAATAAAAAGAGATTTGGTCTCTATTTCCATGAAGCTGAAGCCTGTGTGTTCTCTTTCCCATTCTGTCTTATTGAATCAGTGTGCAAATGCCTACAGGGTTGCAAGTGTCTGATTCTGTAAAATGACTGCAGTGTCCTCAGTGGGTTCCTAAGTTTGGCTCCGCCTTGAAAAGGCAGGGCATTTCTCTTCTTTCCGTTCAGTAGCTATTTTGTACTCTGGTGGTGGTTTCTAATTGCTGAAAGTTGTAATTAATCTGCAGTGTCCAAGGTGTTATTTGTGAGAAAAGAGTGGGGAATCATGGAAGAAGAGCAAGTCCCCAGTGGTCCCTCTTACTCTTGGGGGTCAAGCATATTCCAGGAATGTGGCTAGTTCCCAAAGGATAGTAGGCGTGCTGTGCAGTGGTTTGGCGTTTAAAAGCAATGCTAACAGCCCAGTTATGTTAACTGACTTCCTGATGTTTTGCAATTCTGCAAGGCATCTTGTGCTGAATAAGATGGTCTGTGGAACAAAGGGGAGAATGATGGAAGAAGTTTTCCAGTCATCAAGTTTATTAAGTTTTTTCATTCTGAACAGCACTCATTAATCTCTAGCCTAGTCGATATGTTAGTTATAAAAATGGGCTTTCTTTAAACTGACAGTTCTAGTTTTGTGTCCTCTTTTAGGAATGCAAATCATTCTAACTTTATCCCAGATTTATCTAACCCTGTCTAGTAAAGTCAACTTGAGAGTTTTATAGTTCTATAAACATTGAGGAAAAACAGTGGATTCATTCTAGTTACTTTTTATCCTGTGTACTTGCCAAAGAAAGGAGAAAGTAAATATCAGAAATCTTATCACCAAGTACAAATTGCTATTTATGCCCACGTCAAAATCATCAGGCTCTTCAGAAGCCATATTTCTTGTCATATCTCTATTATACCATACAGATTAAGGTAGTTACCAGACCCCAGTTGGTTCATTTATCAGAGTTCAGCTTACTCCTGGAAGTACAAATAGTTTGTTACACTTTTTTTTTTTTTTTTTTTGAGATGGAGTCTCACTCTGTCACTCAGGCTGGAGTGCAGTGGCACAATCTTGGGCTCACTGCAACCTCCGCCTCCTGGGTTCAAGTGATTCTCCTGCCTCAGCCTCCAAAGGAGCTGGAACTACAGGCATACACCACCACACCCGGCTATTTTTTTTGTGTTTTTAGTACAGATGAGGTTTCCCCATGTTGGCCAGGCTGGTCTCAAACTCCTGACCTCAAGTGATCCACCAGCCTTGGCCTCCCAAAGTGCTGGGATTACAGGCATGAGCCACTGTACCCGGCCGTTAGTTTTTTTGTTTTTGTTTTTGTTTTGGGTTTTTTTTTTTTTTTTGAGATGGAGTCTCGCCCTGTTGCCCAGGCTGAAGTGCAGTGGTGCAATCTTGGCTCACTGCAGTCTCTGCCTCCCAGGTTCAAGCGATTCTCTTCTTCAGCCTCCCTAGTAGCTGGGATTACAGGTGCGCACCACCACACTCAGCTAATTTTTGTATTTTTAGTAGAGATGGGGTTTCATATGTTGGCCAGGCTGATCTCGAACTCCTGGCCTCAAGTGATCCACCCACCTTGGCCTCCCAAAGTGCTGGGATTACAGGTGCGAGCCACTGCACCTGGCCGTTTGTTACACTTTCATCTCATTACCTTGACACTAATACAGAATTAGCTGATTCATTAGCTGATTCCTAAATCAGGAACCCACAAAATTTTAATGGCAAACAATACCTTCGATTGTATCATAAAACTGTAAGTGCCTAGAGCAAGCTTCTTAATTTGTACAATTACTTAACCACTATAATAAATGAACCAATGCCATTGTCAAGCTTCTGTCAAGGAGAGTCATTAACTAGAGGAATAATTTCCCATTGCTTTTGGGGATAATAACTACCCGCCCCTGCCGCCCCGCCCCATGAGCTGACAGGTTCCATTACTTGGCTACACACATTTGGCCACCTTGCGGACTTTTTGACAGCTGAATAGCAGACCTGTATTTAAAGCTTTGTAATCCTTTTTCTTGATGCAAGAATGCTAGTTTTATCACCTTTCAGGTCACTGCCCTCCTCAGGAAAGGTGCTGACTCACAGAGTATGAACCAGCTCTCCAAGGGAATTTTCAGGAGAACCACCTCCAAGGTGATCACCTGAGATATCCTCCAAGGCAAAACTGCAATTCTAAACAACATTTACCATAAGTCTATTAATATTTATAAGACAAGGATTTCCCCCTGCGTACCGTAATGTCATACACACCCATATATGGTAGGATAACTCAAAAAAACAGAGCAGCCCAATAAATGGAAGGAAGAATAGGCCGGGCTTGGTGGCTCATGCCTGTAATCCCAGCACTTTGGGAGGCCAAGGCAGGCAGATCACTAGAGGTCAGGAGTTCAAGACCAACCTGGTCAACATGGTGAAACCCCCATCTCTACTAAAAATACAAAAAATTAGCTGGGCACGGTGGCGCGCACCTATAGTCCCAGCTACTGGGGAGGCTGAGGTGGGAGAATCGCTTGAACCTGGGAGGCGGAGGTTGCAGTGAGCCAAGATCATGCCATTGCACTCCAGCCTGGGTGACAACAGTGAGACTTCGTCTAAAAAAAAACCCCACAAACAAACAAATGGAAGGAAGAGTAAACATGAAAATTCCGAGGAGTAAGCCCTCTAATATATGGACTCCATGAGAGCAAGGTCTTGGCCTATTTCGTTCACTGCTGTGTTACCAGCACCTAGAACAGCACCCGGCATTTTGTAGCCACTCAAAATCAAATAGTTTTGAATGAATCACTTTGGTCTTTGACAGTGAAGTCGTTGGTTAGCTTATGAGACTCAGGCAAGGGGTGAGATTTGCGTTGGGATTTCAAGAATGGAAGGAGCCAAACCGCAAAATTGAGAGGCTAAGACTCTAAAGGACACACTTTGGTGGATTGGAGTGGGTATAAATTCATTTTTAAAAAGTTTATTGATGTATAATAGATGTACATAGTTTCAGGATACATGTGATAATTTAATACATTCATATAATTTGTAAAGATCAAATTAACATGCTTGGGGTACCATCACCTTAAATATTTGTCTTTTGTTTATGCTTAAACCACTTGAATTCTTCTAGCTATTTTGAAATATACAATAGATTACTGTAGACTATTGTCACCCTACTGATGTAACAGGAGGTCTTATTCTTCAATCAAATTGTGTATTTGTAGCCATTAATAAACTTTTCTTCACTCCCCATCCATCCTTCCCGGCTTCTGGTAACCACTAATCTACTCTCTACCTCCATGAGATTCACTTTGTTAGCTCACACATATAAGTAAGAACGTGTGATATTTGACTTTCTGTGCTTGGCTTATTTCGCTTAGCATAATGACCTCCAGTTCCATCCATGTTGCTGCAAATGACAGGATTATAACTGAATAATATCCCATCGTGTAAATATACTATGTTATCTTTATCCATTCATCCATTGATGGGCACTTAGGTTGATTCCATGTTTTTGCTATTGTGAATAGTGCCTCCATAAACATGGGAGTGCTGATATCTTTTTGATATATTGATTTCCTTTCTTTTAGGAATATACCCAAGAGTGAAATTGCTGGATCAATCATATGGTGATTCTATTTTCAGGTGTTTTTTTTTTTTTCTTTTTTTTTTGAGACAGAGTTTTGCTGTTGTTGCCCAGGCTGGAGTAAAGTGGTGGGTTCAGCCTTCTGGGTTAAAGCGATTCTCCTGCCTTGGCCTCCTCAGTAGCTGGGATTACAGGTGCACGTCACCACACCCGGCTAATTTGTATTTTTAGTAGAGACGGGGTTTCACCATGTTGGCCAGGCTGGTCTCGAACTCCTGACCTCAGGGATCCGCCCACCTTGGCCTCCCAAAGTGCTGGGATTACAGGAGTGAGCCACCACACCCAGCCTATTTTCAGTTTTTTGAGGAATCTCCATACTGTTCTCCATAGTGACTGTACTAATTTACATTCCCACCAACAGTGTATGAGGATTTCTCTTTCTCTGCATCCTCACCAGCTTCTGTTATTCACTTTTTGACAAACGCCATTTAAACTGGGGTGAGATGATATCTCATCGTAGTTTTGATTTGCATTTTTCTGATGATTAGCAAGGTTGAACATTTTTTCATATACTTGTTAGCCATTTGTAGGTTTCATTTGAGAAATGTCCATTCAGATATTCTGCCCATTTTTCATTTAAATCATAATTAGTCTATGGCTGTGGTCTGTACCCATTCTGATAAATTTCATTTGAAAATGTGAGGCATGTAGATGTTGCCCACAGTGAATTCTCTTTGGCCATGTACAGAATCACAAAAAAAGGTCCTGACTGAACTCATTCCCCACCCTCCAGGTTTTTCTGACGTCGTGGACTTTCAGGTTGAGCCCTCCCATGTTCAGACCCACTCCCATCAGTTGTAGATTATTTGCAGTGTTTGCAATCTTGGACTTGCAGTACTGCCTGACTTTGTCATACTAAGTCTTTGAAAGCCATTGTGTGTTTTAAATTTAAGTTTATAGCATATCTCAGTTTAGACTAGCCACATTTCAAGTGTTCACTAGCCATGTGTGGCTACTGGCCACAGTATGGGACAGTACAGGTCTAGATAGTCCCCATATTCTTCTATTCAAAAGATGTTGTTCTGAGTTATTCTTCATCTTAATTTCAATTAAGTCAATTAATTAAATGGTGGTAATAACTCAATCATGGAATCATGGTTTTTTTTTTGTTGTTGTTGTTGTTTTGAGACAAGATCTTATGCTGTCACTCAGGCTGGAGAGCAGTGGCATAATCACAGCTCACTGGAGCCTCCAACTCCTGAGCTCAAGTGATCCTCCTGCCCCAGCCACCAGACTAGCTGAGACTACAGATGTATGCTACCATGCCTGTCTAATTAAATTTTTTTTTCTTTTTGCAGAGACGGGGTCTTGCTAAGTTGATCAAGCTGGTCTTAAACTCCTGACCTCAAGCTGTCCTCCTGCCTTGGCCTCCTAGAGTGTTGGGATTACAGGCATAAACCGCTGCGCCCAGACCTGGAATCATGTATTCTAAACCTAACAAGGCGGGTTGTTGCACTGCCTGTGTCTCTGCCAGAGTGCTTATATGTTGTTGTTTTTACTGTTTTAATGCTCCTCACTTACTGTGTGTTTGATAAAAGAATTAATGAAATGTGTGGCTGCAAAAAATAGGATGAGTCATGACAAAGACTCTCTCCTTTAACCAAGCTAGAATCAGGCTCCTCTGAGTTCTTCTGACTAATCACCAACTTTGGGCTCTGTCCTTCATCCAGTGACTCTGCCCACTTAATCCAGTTTTAGCAAGAACCCTGCTGCATCAGTTTAATGAAAATCCTTCACACTTGCTATCTGACCATTCTTTTTGTTTTTGTTTTTGAAATGGAGTCTTGCTCTGTTACCCAGGCTGAAGTGCAGTGGCGCAATCTCAGCTCACTTCAACCTCCGCCTCCCGGGTTCAAGTGATTCTCCTGCTTCAGCCTCCTGAGTAGCTGGGGTTACAGGTGTGTGCCTCCATGCCTGGCTAATTTTTGTATTTTTAGTAGAGACAGGGTTTCTCCATGTTGTCCAGGCCGGCTCCAACTCCTGACCTAAAGTTATCCGCCCCCCTGGGCCTCCCAAAGTGCTGGGACCACAAGTGTGCACCACCATGCCTAGCCTATCTGATCCTTCTTGATATCTGATCAAACTCCTTATCCCCCACCCTCAATATCTTGTCACCCTTGCCTGCCTTACACAGTAATCCTGCCAAGGTGGTTTAGCCGGAATCCCAACTTATCCCTGGTGTTTTCTCTTAGTAATTTTCCCTCCACTGACACTCACCATACTCCTTGGCTATAAATTTCCACTGGTCCTTGTATTCAGGGTTGAGCCCTGTTTCTCTCCCTTACTACAAAACCCCATTGTCAGAGCCCACCTTGAATAAAGTCTCCCTTACCATCTTTAACAAGAGTTGTGACTAATTTTTTCTTTACAAGTCAAAAGATTGCCAATGGAAAAATGTGACTGAAACATGACCTCCTATAATGGACATGTATTGGGTTTGCTAAACCAATATACTTTTCTTGTCCCTCTGGGGTACTACCATCCCCAGCTGCAGGTGGTCTTAGTGGAACTTAGTGAATGTGGACAAGTGAATCAGAGTAGGCCAAAATTAAAAGTCTGTTCTGAAATTGAACCTTGAGGATTCAAACCAAGAATGAAAAGGGACTGTTGGTGTTCCATTATTCTGATGACCCATTGATTCTTGCTTTCTTGGTCCCTAGATCTTCCAAACTTCCTTTCTTTCTTATGTTTTATTTTTTTAGAGACAGGGTCTTGCTCTGTTGCCCACACTGGAGTGCAGTGGCTCCATCATAGCTCACTGCTGCTGCCTCAACCTCCCAGGCTCAGGCGATTCTCCCACCTCAGCCTCCTGAGTAGCTGGGACTACAGGTGCATGCCACCATGCCCAGCTAATTAAAAAAAATTTGTAGAGACGGGGTTTCACAATGTTGCCCAGGCTGGTCTCAAACTCTTGGGCTCAGGGGATCCTCCTACCTTGGCCTCCTAAAGTGTTGAGGCTACAGGCGTGAATCACCTGGCCCAGCCACTTCCTGCCTTTCTGAAGATAATGACCACTTGTTTGAGTCTATTGTTTGCAGAGTGTCTCTATAATGACCTCTGCGGGCCAAGGTGTGGAGCATATGATAAACCTCTGTAAGTTTTTAAAAGATGCCTTTGTCCCTGTCGTACATGACCATTCAAGATAGAAGGGTCGGGTGTGGGTGGGAGATGATTGAAAAAAGGTGAAGTTCTAGCTACTGGGTAGGCTTACTGAGCGTGTGATGGTGGGGGAGGAGCAACACTCAGGTACCTGGAGAGGGAACACCCTTGACCCCAAGTGGTGTCGGGGAGGGATTGATGTTAATGATCTTTTGCCTTTCAGAAATGTACCTCAAGCCATCCTCACCTAGGAAAATGCCCTGGTGCAGGTCTCCTAAACCCTGACAAGCCCTTGACATTTAACTGACTATTGTACCTCCCATCCCCTGCCAGATAGCTCTAACCATGGTTTGATTGTCATGCCTCTTCATCTGACCAAAAAGGCCACTGCAGGGGATGGCCCAACTCCTGCACCTCCCACACAAAACACCTGTCAACACCTGTGGTCATCTTCCCCACCCTATTTCTGTAGATGTTGCTTGGTCATCCCTTGGGTAGATGAACACTGCCTGGTTGGTGATGTGGACAAACTGGATAAACTGGACTTGAAGCAAAACAAGGACTAGACTCAATTATTCACACTAAGCTGGGAACTCTAGGGTTTTCAGCCTGCCAGGAAGCCATGTTGGAGGCACTCAACCTATGCCCTTCAACTGATATGGGTCTTACTTGGGGGATCCCAACAGTTGTTACTTTTTTTCCCAGGGGCACCATGTGGTCCCCTGACACTGCACTTCTGGTGTGGAAGCTATGCATTAATTTGTCTTCCTTCCAAAATACATGGATTTGTATTTTAGGGGTGGGCCTAAGAGACCTTAAGAGTATTTAAGAAAACACCACGAGGGAATTAAGTAGCCCTAAGGTAACTGCAGAGATCTCTCCAAAATGAAGCTATTCTTGGTGTCTTGGGGGAAACTTCCAGGGGGATAACTGACCCATTTTATTTATTTATTTATTTATTTATTCATTTATTTATTTATTTTTCGAGACAGAGTCTCACTCTGCTGCCCAGGCTGGAGTGCGGTGGTGCTATCTCAGCTCACTGCAACCTCTGCCTCCCAGGTTCAAGGGATTCTCCTGCCTCAACCTCCTGAGTAGCTGAGATTACAGGCATGCGCCGCCACGCCCAGCTAATTTTTGTATTTTTAGCAGAGACAGG